>NC_000002.12:156277496-156580527 GCF_000001405.40 Homo sapiens | reverse complement strand
GGAAACCCAATACATTCTTCATATGATCAGAGTCATATGGACAGTTAGAAATAATGTATGGGTTTGTTGAAATTTCTTTTAAGAAACGATATGTAGCATCCAGTTTGAAGTTAAAGTAACAAAATTTATTTCCTGCATGATTACAAAGATTAAACAACAGAGCCTTGAATAAATTAACAATTGGAAATGGAAATACTTAAATTATGTGGTCTTGACCCCAAAATACAAGTTTCCTTCCTTATGTTTTTCTAGTTCTTTATAATGACAGAATCTAATCACTAAATTCTCAAATGAATATGATTCATTAGTGAATAGAACCATACTTTTTAAAAATTTTCTACATAAAAGATTAGAAATCTTGTGTTGCCTCTTATGAAGTACAGGAAAAGAAAAAGAAAAGTAAGCAAAAGAAAAAGGTCCAGCATTGATATGCCATGGCATACGTCTTTAAAAAGCATGCTTCATATTCAACCCTTTATGATAAATAACTTGGATTTAATCTAAATTGCCCAACATAATGGAATGTTTCTTATACAAAAAAAGGAAAAGAATATGCACCACAGTAGAGCCTTACACTTGAGGGCAGACATATCAACCTCTGCTGGCTTCGAGCTTTCTTCTTCTTCAGAATAATCTGACAATTGTGTGGACTTAAATATCCATTCTTGAACATGCATTTATGATCATGACAAACAAAAGATAAAAGCAAATATCCTTGTTTCCTTTCACCACAACTCACCTGCAAAAATTCATTGAGTTCAACCTGTCCATTTTTATTCAAATCAACTTCATTTAGAATTTCATGGAGTGTATTTTCATCCATTTGGACATTGATACTCTAAGTAAAAGAAAAGCATAGAATAATACAGTTTGATTAAAAATTATGCATATGCTTTGGCTGGGCAAGGAGGCTCATGCCTGTAATCCCAGCACTTTGGGAGGCCAAGGCAGGCAGATTAGTTGAGGTCAGGAGTTCGAGACCAGCCTGGCCAACATGGAGAAACCCCATCTCTGCAAAAAATATTTTAAAAATTAGCCGGGCATGGTGGTGCGCACTTGTAGTCCCAGCTACTCTGGAGGCTGAGGCAGGAGAACCGCTTGAACCCAGGAGGAGGAGGTTACAGTGAGCCGAGATCGTGCAACACTGCACACCATCCTGGGCAACAGAGTGAGACTCTGTCTCAAAAAAAAAAAAAAAGAAAGAAAAAAGAAAAAAAATTATAAATATGCTTTCACTAATGTTACTAAATCTTTTAAAAATTATAACAAAAATATTACTTGTAGAAAACCCTAGATGAGAAAAACATCTAATATTTTTATATTCTTCTAGTATCAGAGGCTGACATCAACCAAAGAAAATTACCTCTAATACACGCTGAACATCAACAATGGTAATAAAGCCTTTCTGGTCTGCATCAAACTTATGAAATCTCTTCTTATACCTGGAACACAAGATTAAATAATGGAAAAATATACTTACATAGGCCAAAAAAAAAGAGAGATAGATAGACACTTATTATAAGTACCTGTCAATGTCTGAAGGCAGTAGGCTAATTTCAGAGCGATCTGTTAACTGTTCTGATCGAGATTTATAGCCCATTTCATAATATAGAAACTTCCTGGCTGTTTCAAGTTGTTCCTAAAACAGAGATACACACAAAGTTCAAAGACACATGGAAATATTGATTTTTTTCCTCCTTTTTTTACTGTTGATCTTCAGAAAATGAAGTTGATCCTTACTTATCTAACCAGCACAATTTTTTTATTTCTTCCAGTTTCATTGAAGTATAATTTATATTGAATAAAATGTACCTACTACCATGATTAAGATCTACAGCATCTCCATCACCCTAAAACTTTCCTCATGTCCATTTGCAGCTGATCCCTTCCCATGATCTCTAGCCACAGGCAAACACTGACTGGCTTCTTGTCACCAGAGTTTGCCTTTTCTGGAATTTCTTACAAAAGGTTTCATATAGTATGTAGTCTTTTGTGTTTGACTGCTTTCACAAAGGATAATAATTCTGAGATTCATTTATGTTGCTGCATGTTTCAATATTTTGTTTCTTTGTACTGCTGAGTATTCTTACACAGAAACTGACCGACAAAATCTACAGGATCAAATTCTTGTAGTTTGGTGACAAAAAAAAAAAAAGTAATTAAAGGTGAAGCTATCTTGGATTTGAACAACTTGGACTTGTCACTATAATGTGACATGAAGTGTGAAGGTATATCTCATGAGATTAGCTGTGCTGAGATTTTGCCACTGGGATTCTGATACTTAGGTGAAGTTACAGAGTCATGAGAAGAAATAAGCTATCCTCAAGTTACTCTTCCTGTTTTCAATGTCCTCAGTGTCAATTAATACTAACTGTTGCTGCAAATATTGTTTTTCTTAGTTTTCATCATGTCATTTTCCCATCTAAAAACTTCTGAAATGACTTTATTGTAGCATATATTGTTCACAAATCTCTTTCCTCATATATATATTATGCTACACACACACACACGCACACATATACTTCTCAACTGTATTGATGTGAGTTGGCCATGTGACTTACTTTGGACTGTGGAACATGAATAGGTATGATATATGCTACTTTTGAGTAAAAGCTTTCATGGTAACTTTATAGTTTTGCTTAGCATCTCTTACTCCTGTGCCATAAGAAGGGCACATCTCAGATGAGATCTGAAGCCAATCTAGAATGTGGAGAAGAGAGCCACAGCAGCTAACACGCAGCCTTCATGTAATGTGAGGGAAAAAGAAATGCTTGCTGCGATGAGCCACTGAGATTTTGAAATTGACTGTTATTGAGTATAACCTAGAACAAGTCTTAAATTCCCCAAATTCCCATCAAAGGATCTTGTGAACTCAATGGTTCCCAAATTCTGGTCTGAAGAACAGTGCCAGTGTGAAGTGAAATGAAGAAAATGAAGCAATGACACATACACTTGCATGAACTGTGTTTATATGTGTTTGGTTATGTTGATGATAAGATCCCTTATTGATTTTTCTTGAGAAGACAAACTTTTTTTTTTCTGAGACAGTGTCTTGCTCAGTCACCCAGACTGGAGTGTAGTAGCACAATCATGGCTCACTGCAGCTTCTACCATGCAGGCTCAATCCTCCCACTTCAGCCTCCCAAGTGGCTGGGATTACAGGCATATGCCACTATGCCTGGCTAATTTTTTATTATTATTATTTGTAGAGATGGGGTCTCCCTGTGATGCCTAGGCTGGTCTTGAACTACTGGGCTCAAGTGATTGATTCTCCCACCTCAGCTTTCCAAAGTGCTGGGATTATAGGCATGAAGCACTGTGCCCAGCCATCAGTTGATTTTTCTGACATGATTCCTTTCCTGCTTTCCTTTTCTTAGGAAATAGATACTAGAAACATTCTTCCTTCATGTTCTTAAATAACAAAATTAAAAATTATCAACGTGAATAATTCTTTGAGCTTAAAAAAGTAAATTTAAAATGTGTGTGTTTGTGTGTGTGTATGTGTGCATGTGTATCTCATATACAAAACTTGTCTGTGAAGTCTCCATCTCCAAGGACATTTTTCACTGGCAGATTTTTCACAAGAAAATCCACCAGTGGTCATAAATAAAATTATTTTGCTGTTCCACCACTTTTACCTAGCCATTTTCTACACAACTTGTTCAAAATCCATCTCCTTGGAAATGCCACCTCTGATGCTTCCCTGCAACAACAATTTCTTTCTCGACTTATGGCCCTTCATTGCATGTGTAATTTATCTATACTCCATCAAACAAGGAATTATGGAATTTCAAAGCTGGAAGATATTTTTTCATAAACGGTACTCAATGTACTTCCCTTACCCCACATTTCCTTTATAACATTCCAAAAATGGAAGAACAAAGCCTTTGTCTAAACAACTCTAGCACTGGGGAGGTAACTTAATACTGCTGAAAGTTACTTCCAATTATTAGAAGGTTTTACAGTGAGATTAAATCTACCTCCTTGAAATTCTTCCAGTTTTGGGGGGATTAACAAATCCTTTCCTAGGGTAGAACAAACCTAATGTTTTTTTTTTTTTTATCACAGCTTAATAAGTATTTAAAGATAGTATCATGTGCTTTCCTCCTTAGAGTTTTCTTTTAGTCTAGAACTACTATATAAAACATTATTTCAAATCCCTATACCATGTTGTATAATTTCTTCCAGACCACAACCGGTTTGTCATACAATACAATTATCAGAACAAAATACAACACTGCAACAGAGATCTGGCAAGTACCTAGAAGGGAGTAACTATCAGCATCATCAATCTAGATATATGATTTCTATTAATGCGGCTTAAGATTGCAATTGGATTTGGGGGCAGCCATGGTCCACTGTTAACGGCTATGCATTCACAGTTAACTAAAACCATATTTCTTTTTCACATGTGCTATTGTTAAGCCTTGTCAAATCTATCTTGAATGGATGGAATTGTTTTTCTACCTAATGTAAGGTTTGCCATTTATCTCTATTAAATTATATCTAATGAAATTTCACCCATTGTTTCAATCCATCATCAAACATTCACTCTCCCTCTGGTATCTTGTTATTGGTACATCAAAGATGCATGCCATCAACATTGTAATTTAACCATTTGAATCAAGGTAGACTAGGTCAAGATCTAGGACAAGGTGCTTATGACTTACTACCAGAGACCTCTTCTGAGGCCAACACTGTCATTTAACTGGTTATAAATCTACCAATTTTACAGATATCATACGGGACTTTCTAAAATGCTTTATAGAATCAAAATTCCCTAATCTAGCCATCTGCTTGCTCTATCTAAAAAGGAAATGAGGACCGGGTGTGGTGGCTCATGCCTGTGATCCCAGCACTTTGGGAGGCTGAGGCAGGTGGATCGCATGAGCCCGGGAGTTTGAGACCAGCCCGGACAGCATGGCAAAACCCTGTCTCCACAAAAAAAATTTTAAAAACTAGCTGGGCATGGTGGTGCATGCCTGTAGTCCCAGCTACTTGGGAGGCTGAGGTGGGAGAATCACCTAAGCCTGGGAATTTGAGGCTGTAGTGAGCCATGATCACATCACTGCACTCCAGCCTGGGCAACATAGCAAGACCTTGTCTCAAAAAAAAAAAAAAAAAAGAAAAGAAAAGAAAAGAAAATGATATATCTGAAATGATTTTGCCTAAGTGATTCCTTACTAGCTTCCGTGATCACTATTTCTTGATAAATGCTGATAAAATAAACTTAAAATGTCACAATCTAGAAAACCACGCAAGATCAATGCCAAGACCATTAGTTTCTAGGTTGCAAACTATATTTTTCTCTCCTCTCGTTTTTGAAATTTGGTATTACATTTGCCCATTCTGTCTTCTGGTCCCATTCCTATTTGCTACAGTATTTTAAAGTTCAACAGTAAGCTGATCCCAAGCAAGAGAATCTTAACTGCAAATTCTCTGAGTACTCTAAGGTATAATTTTTCTGGACTGGCATAAAACTCATTCAGAGTAGCCTCCTATTTCAATATCTATTCATTCTTACCAACATTTATATTTTGCTCTTTTCACACATAAAAACAGGGAGAGAGAAGGAAAAAGACATTGGTAGTAAATTATAAATTGAATAGTTCTCCTTACTCTCCAGCATTCAAGAATATGATGCCTGCCACCTTAAGCAATGATCTAGATTAGGTCTTATTTGCTTTTGTTTTTTTCTTCAACTTTTAAACATTACATTTGGTGCCCTAAGTATTTTTTCCCCAACACCCAAACAATACCTGACACTACTCATACACATCCACATTATTCCTGATATCGCTCCTTTCATTGTTGAGCACTTGGCTTCTATCTGTTTTACATTTGGTATTTATCAGCTTGCTTTAATCAGCCACTCAAAGTCTTCACATGCCTCCCATTTTTCCTCCTCATTGGAATCAATTTTGAAAAAAAAAAATGTATTTTTGTGAGACTCTCAGTCTACTTACATGTTTTCTCTTTATAGTCTCTGAATGAAAAATGGATCTTTTGTCTGAACATGATAAAATCCACCTTATCAAATCCTATGGGGCAGCATTTCCCAAAATATGTTCTAAGTACTAGCTCCCTTCCTACCCAGTTCTCCCAAAAAGTGAGAATTGGGTCTGTCTCCAATAAGTTCCTTTTTGGAAACTGAAAACATACATAACCATTTTAAAGGTTCTAATTGCAATTGCACTAAAGGAAGTGGTTTTACTTGTTTAACTCAGAATTTCTCTTTTGACCATGTAGTCATCCTTTCAAGTATATTAATTTGTACCCTGCAGAACACAATTTGGCAATGTTTTTTTTTTTCTCTAAATGTTCCTGCCAACTCCTCTAACAATCCCCAACTCCCTAAGACATTGCCTTCTTCCCTAATCAGTTCTTCCAAGTTGGTTGGATTTTGGTCTTGAGTGACAGTTTCTCGAAATATTTCTCCAAATTTTGGAAACTATGCATAAATGCCAGAGCTATACATGTGTTATAACAACCCAATTAGATTTTAAGATCTTAAAACTATGAGCTATTTAGTATTCTCCTAAAATATTTGGTGCAATGTTCAGTATACAAGTCACTCATTAAGTATTGACTGGTAAAAACAAGCACAGTTCATCTACGGAGAGTTATTTATCACCTTGTTCCTCTTTCACTTTTGCAGGTTAAATAATCCCAATGCTTTTAACCTTTTCTCAGAAGTCCAACTTTCTAACCTTTTAATTCTTTCTCCCCACTCCTTTGTTCTCTCTAGACTGTCCACAGCTCTCATTAATACTCCTACATCTCAGATACTGAGTAATAGCTTTAGGTCTTTATTTATGTTACTTTGTTAAGGGGGATGGGAGAGCATTTCTGAGCACATAAATCTGTTCATAAAATATGAACTGAAGTTAAATCTAGCTTCCTTAGTAGGGCCAAACACAACCAGTTTACAGAATTTTCTTCCTCCTTCCTACCTCCTACAGCCTGAATTCCTAGCATAAAATATGTTCCTGCATATTCAAATCATTCCGACCATAATTTTTGGAAGGACACATTATCCCCAATCCTTCTATATGGTAAAAAGGACTGACAGAAGCACAGGAGTAAGTTTCATTCCTGTGCTGCCTCTGTACGGAGCTTTAGCTAATCAAACTAAAGCTCAAGACTTCTTCAACAGCTATAAACCAGTACAGCTAATGCAGACACAGCAAGACAGGATGGAGAAAGCTTATGCTCTAGGATCAGAATACCTGGTTTCAATCCCTGCTTTACAATTGACTGTTGATATAAACTCTGAAAAGAGTCCTACTCTGTGAACCTGTTTTCTCAGCTATAACATGGGGGTAAATTTTATCCCTGTCAGAGGCATGATCAGGATTAAGGAACTCCTAAAATCAAACCCTTTCCTCCCACATTTCCCAGGTGACTGATATGTAATCATCTTTGGAAATCTATACCAGAATGAGAATACTTTAAAAACAGGCCATGTGACTAATTCTTTCCTTGCACTGTCAGCATGTATCATAGATGCCCAATAATGTTCATTCACTCATGCTATGTGAGAACACAGCAATACAATGTTTGTCTATAAACTAGGACACAGGCCCCCACCAGATCCCAAATCTACTGATGCCTTGATCTTGGACTTCCCAGCCTCCAGAACCATGAGAAATAAATGTTTGTTGTTTAAGCCACCCAGTCTATGGTATTTCTGTTATAGCAGCCCAAATGAACTAAGATATACTGTCTTACCTTCTAGGTCAAAACTCCCTCTTGCATCTTCTTACACCTCCTCTAGCCTCACTAGCTATTATTTTCTCTTTTTCCTGGATTCTTCCTTATATCCTATGCTTCTAAACTTTGGTGTGCTCCAGTGCTTGGCCTTTGGACTGTTTTCATCATCTGACTACATTAACTCCCTATATAATCTCATCCAGTCTGATGGCTTAAATATCAACTCAAATTTATATCTCTAGCCCAAGCCTTCCCTTTGAATTTCACACAGACATATCCAATGATCTGGATTTGTATTAATAAACTGAACTCTGAAGTTGTTAAAGAAGGGACACCAGTTAAGGGGAGGGAAGCTATTGCGGTAATCCATGTGACAGATACCGGTGACCTGAATCAGGGTGATGGAAGTTGGATGTGTTAAGAAACGGTTGAATTCACTTCAACACAAGTGTTTGTTAAAAAAAAATTAAAAATAAAATAATTTTTTAAATGAAAGGGTTGAATTCAGTTATTTAAACATAAATATGGTATGATTTGCTGATGGATTTAGATAGGGTATAAGAGAATGCATAAAGTATGATACTAATGTTTAGGCTTGAGTAACTGAAGGATAGCTATTTATGACATGGAAAAGTCTATAGGAGTAGTAGTTTTGGGAAGGTAAAAGGAGATCCAAGAGAGGTGGTGTTCCAGAAAGCAAAATATTGTTCAAGAAGGAAGGGGGAATCAATTGTGTCAAATGCTGCTAATTGGCCAAGTAAAACAAGGACTGCAAGTTAACAAATTTATTGAGTAACATGGAGGTTACTGGTGAGATTGACCAGAGCTAATGCAGCAAAGTGGTGGCAAAAGTGCCTAAATGAAATGGGTTCAAGAGATCCTGGGAGAAAGGAACAGAACCCAATGAATACAGAAAGTATTTTATGAATATATAAAAATGCTTCATTACCCTCTGCATATCACAAGAGTTTGGGTTAATTAAAAAACATAAAGATCTACTTAGCCTAACCCTGTATGTGTGTTTGTGTGCGTGTATATGTATGTATGTATGTGTTGTGCGTGTGTGTGTGTATGCATCTGAGCATCACCAGCTTTTAAAATTTGGAATATAAATATAAAATCTCAAATGACACAAATGATAAGCATTTAGTGCTCAGGCAGAAAAACCACATTTCTTACCAAAGGCACACTAGCAGGAGTTTGCATTTCACTGATTATGTTCCAAGAGTGTTTTCAATGAAAACCAGAAAAGGTTCCATACTACAATCATTATTATCTTTCTTTTTCAGGAATTATGACCACAAATTTATGAGCATTTTCTACAAGAGATTTTCCATAAACAACTAAATTTAAATGGAATATCTTTCCATTTTCCTAAGGCCTAACAATATTAAACACACACAAAGAAAAACTGGTAAGAAATCTAAGGTTATCATCAAAAACTACGCTAGCTTCTACTAACAAATTAAGCCATTCCGCGTTTACAATAGGAATTGTGGTTTTAAAGACTTCTATATAATACCTGCTTCTTATAATCATCCCAATTCAGTTCCCTGCCCATCAGTTCAACAATCCTGGGTAGGGCTTCCTCTGCTGCCTGGACATTTAGAAAGGCCAGGCGAGTACGACGTGAAATCATATCCACAGCAGTGCAGGCATACTCCTTAATCCCATATTTCACCTGAGTTTGAATTAAAGAAAAATTATTAGTTGAGACTCTTCTTTAGAAAATGAGAAATAAAGCTTCACTTAAAAAAAATAAATGTGTGCTTCACAAAGGTAATATTTTTCTTTATACTCTCTGGTCCTCCAGCAGGCATGAGACAAATAGTGGCATCACACAAGTTTTCCATCTGCCTGCCAAAGGAGGTTTGGAAAATGGCAAAAATTGGACAAGAGTTAATGCCTTTTTCCTGAATAGAACCTGGCATAAACATGCAAATTGCATCACTTCTCATTAACCATCCACAGTCATCACTTACCTCTCTATGCTTATACATAATGTGGATTTTAATTTACATAGCTGACTAGGAAAAGGACGAGTGTCAAAAAGTTATGATCTCACCTCTTTAGTCTGTATAGTTTTTTGTCTTAGAGTAACCAGAATATAGGAATCCTGAATTCAATCAACAAGTAAATGTTCACTGGACATCGATATTTTAAGGCACAGTGAATTACAAATAAATACAAAGCCTGGTCTCTGATTTCACAAAACTGGAGAGCTTGATGGGAAACAAGACCTAAACCTTTGAGAAACTGTCACAAGATATGTAGGTAGGACATGAGTGGTACAAACTTAAAGAGCTGCAAATGCACAAAAGGGACAACTGTGAATTAACACGTTTAGGGACAGTTTGATGGAGAAAAAAGAAACCTATATTTTATGTTGTTATTATTACCACTATCAATATCACTTCAGAATTAAGATTAAAATTTTATAAATAAAAGGATCTATATTGGAAAGACATAGTAGTCCTGGTTTTAGCTGACATATGTGCATTAAAACTTAGCTACATATAATTTTTAAAGATGACAAATGAACAGATAAATGGTATCCCATGGCAGACATGAAATTCCTATGTGACCATTCACATACCTCTGCTTCAATATATGGAAATTCTGACACAAGACGTACTCCAACAATAGGCCACCTTTTGCCAGTCACACTTGCCATTTTGGCCACCTCAAAGGCCTTATCACCATAGGTGGCGGCAAGATGCTGTGCCACCTAGAGAAATAAAGCTGCGTTAGGCAGGCACTTTGAATATCAATAGCTTCTAGGCACAAAGCAAAAAGCACACATGCTTATCTTGTCAGTTTTCTTACAGCCTGTAACTAATAGCTCTCGGAGAGTATTATATTTTGATTTTGTGGAAGGAAACCACTTGGGCTTCGAATGCTTAGGCCAGCACTAACTCTCTTACACATGTATCACTGCATCAATGACTGATGAAGCTTCAGCTTCATTTTGCTCCTGATACCACTTCTGAAGAACAGCCTTCTTCATGCCTGAGACAGAATTTGGGATGCCCTATACACTAGAAACAAACCAAATAAACTCCACTTTTTAATAAAATACATTTCATAAAGTGTACATTGCTTGTTGGGCAAGTAAAGCAAAGCAAGATCATCTTTTTTTCCTTCCATAACAGACTGGCAGAAATGTATTCAGCAAAAGGAAATCTCAATCAGGGAGACCTGATTGCTGCCAGTTCTGTCACTGGCAGCAGTGAGAGATTAGGTAAAGAGTAAGATGATGTGGCAATGCACACTCACCTCGCTTTCAAGTCCATAATCCTGCACAAGCCTAATGTAGAGTGTGGGGCTCCAATCTTTACCCCCTTGAAGGAAAAGCCCAACTGTTCTACTTGGTCCTGCTTTTAAATTATGAGTTTTGACAGCAGCATTTATGGTATCTTCTGCCATAGACCGATAAGTTGTCCACTTTCCACCTATAAAGAAATTGATAGACAATTCATCAGGTTGCCACCCCTTATTTTTCTTATAATTAACCATTTATCAACTTACCAATAACAAAATTTTCCTGTTGTTTGTAACAAACATGGGATTGTGTAAAACTTAATTCAGAATAAAAAAAATGCTTGTTCAATAAAGTTAAAAGAGATTCTGGCAGGACAATTTAAGTCAAACTTATATCTAAAGCACATCCAAATTACAAGACAGAAGGCCAGGTGTAGTGGCTCATGCCTGTAATCCCAACACTTTGGGAGGCTGAGGTGGGAGAATCACCTTAGTCCAGGAGTTCAAGACCCTCCTGGGCAACATGGTGAGACCCTGTCCCTATAACAAAAAAAAAAAAAAAAGAAAAGAAAATAACAAGGTAGTATCTCATACCTGCTATAGTAATAAGGCCACTCTCACTGATATCAACAACATGATTTCGGGAGATAGACTGAGTATCTGCAGATTTGGGGTCTGTAACAAGAGGACGGATTCCACTCCATGCTGCCAGGACATCCCCTCTTCTCACTGGTAGGAATCAATGCCAAGGGTTATGAACATTGCTCAAAAATATTTTGATAAAAATATTAAACAGTTAATAAAAAGAGTTCGGTGACAGGAATACACATGTGTGCACTTTAAAAAGGAGAGAAAGCCTAAAGATGAGAACTAAGTTTGTGGATAGGTACAAGAAAAACTCATAAAGAATTATTCTGTTACAAAGATAATTTCCATGAAAAAGTAAAGAACTTTGGAAATCACTGACATTGATACCACAGAGGAAGCAAAAGAGGCAAATGTTAGCAACCTTCCAGCTGAAGCAACCTGGAGCAGTTAGAAAAACAAGAAAGAAAAAAAAGCAGAAACAATCAAAACCAATGCTAACGATGCATGAATTGTTAAATTTCCTTCTAGAATACATCTTCCTATCTCTTCTCAGGGAAGACAAAGATCCTTATTAAATTAAACAAACCTGTAACAGGATATTATATTTTCTCCCCTCATCAATACCACCCTCTTCCTGAGTGTTTACAGCAGGCCTACCACTGTGCAAACACTTGACATAGACATCTCATTTAATCTCACAAAGCCCTATAGCATTGGTTATTATTATTCTCACCATACAGATCAGAAAACAGATGAATGCAAACATTTAACAAACCAAGCTGGGCAACAAACCTGGCCAAGGCAAATATCTTATATATGGTAAAACAGCATCAGAACCTTCTTCCTTCTGAGTTTAAGGTCCATATTCTTACCTCTTAAATTGTACTGTCTCTCAACTTCTGACAACTTCCATACTCTGCCTTTTTTCTTTTCTCATTCCATTATTTTTAGCACTGACACAGAAACAGGTATACTGGCTTCTCCCAGTAGGTACATTATACTTGAATTATATTATATGGAAGTTCTTTCAATACTCAAGATGCCATGAAAATATCTTTACTATCTCTGTCAAAATACAATGCCCAACTATATCCAGGCTGATTAAGTTTTCATTAGAATTAGACAGCTGTTGAACAGCACTCATTACTAATCTAAAAATGACTTAAGAGAGAAGGTGAGCTATGGTTCTCATCTATCAGGTACAAGGGCAAGACCCTAGGGCAGAATTTTCGGAATCTGCCCTTCTTCATGTAGACCAGCTTCAGGAATGGCTTAGCTATGGGAGCTGACTATGGGCACCAGACTGAAAGTTGCCTGATGATATAGACTACTGGGAAAATAATGCCTACCTGGTCCTGCTGCATTTATTGTGGTAAATCAGCTAATCCATCGCTGGATAACAGAAACATGAGTATAATTTTGCTTCAACTGTGACTTGGGGTCATGTGTGCCCTCCTTCTTCATCATACTCCCAGCAATTACCCATACTGATAAAAAATTGACTGTATATAGTCTTGAAAACTTCAAGATAATGGGAAAACTGGATCTCCACATGTGAAAGAATGAAGGTGGACCCTTATCTTATATCGTATACAAAAATTTACTCATAATGCATCAAAGGCCTAAACATAAGAGCTAAAACTATAAAACTCAGAAGAAAACATATAAGAAGAGCTTTATGACACTAGATTTGTCAATAGTTTCTTGGATGTGACATCAAAAGCACAGGCAACAAAAGAAAAAAATAGATAAAACACACTTCATCAACATTAAAAAGACACTATTAACAGAATGAAAAGGTACCTCATAGAATAGAGAAAATACCGGTAAATCATATACTGATAAGAATATATCATATATGCAGAACATATGAGAAATTCCTAAAATGCAACAACAAAAAGCAAACAACTTGAATTAAAAAATGAAAGACTTCAATAAATATTTCTCCAAAAAAGATATACAAATGCTCAATAAGCACATTAAAAGATAGTAAACATCACTAATGATTCGGGAAATGCAAATGAAAACCACAATGAGATACCACTTCACACCCATTAAAATGGATATTATCAAACAAAAACAAAACGAAACAGAAAATAACAAATACTGGTGAAGATGTGGAGAAACTGAACCCCCTGTACACTGCTGGTTAGAAGGTAAAATGGTGCAGCTACTATCAAAAATGTATGGCGATTCCTCAAAAATTAAACATTTAGAATTACCATAAGATCTAGCAATTACACTTCTGGGTATATACTCCAAAGAAATGGAGCAGAGAAAAGTTTTACAACCTTGTTCATAGCATTACTAACAATAGCCAAAAGGTAGAAGCAAACCAAGTGTCCATCAACAGATGAATAAACAAAATGTAACATACACTTACAACGAACTATTATCTAGCCTTAAAAAGGAAGAAAATTCTGACACATGCAACATGGATGAACCTTGAAGACATTGTGCTAAATAAATAATCCAGTCACAAGAGGACAAATATTGTACAATTGCACTTCTATGAGGTACTTGGCGTACTCAAACTCATAGGAGCAGAAAGTAGAATGGTAGTTGCCAAGGGGTTGGGAGAGGGGGAATAAGAGTTACTATTGAATGGTTACAGAATTTCAGTTGAGGAAGACAAAAATGTTCTGGAGATGGAAGGTGGTGATGGTTGCATGACAATGTGAATGTACGTAATGCCACAGAACTGTACACTTAAAAATGGTTAAAATGGTAAATTTTATGTTCTGCATATTTAACCATAATCTAAAAATCAAGATAAAAGGATAAACTGATATAATTCAAGTCTCAAATTACGAAAGGGTTAAGGAAATATTTTACATAGAATATGGAAGTATCAGGACCTTTATTAGCCCATACCATGTCCATGTTTTAGTTCAAATCCATAAATCCCATTCAGGGATCACAGTTTTGTGAGCAGAGGGCAGGGCTGGATTTCAGTTTCCACTCAACCCTTGGTCATGTGCCTTTGTACAGTAAACATCCTGTATATTTATATACAACACCACTTGAAAAGTAGTTAGGTATATATCTAGCAGACTCTTTGTGTAAAAAGTCACAAAGACTCCTTGAAATGATTGGAACAGTTCTTACTGAAGCAAAACAAAATAAAACAAAACCATGCCTTACCAAGTATAAGCAAAACAAGCTATGTTGGATGACAGATAATTTCTCCATCTTGATCTAAAATGAATAATAGGTTTCTGCTAAAAATAAATTCAACTCAAGTTAATCTGGCATATTTTACTATAGATTCTTAAAGGCTACACTCTTGACATAACTATAATCTGAAAGAGTAGATACCCATCACCTCTACAGGATGTTTAATCAAACCCATAATCCAAACACTGTAACTGAAATACCAACATAATTAACTGGCGAGGAAAGCCTAAGCCTTCTCAGTCTTACTAACTGGAGACAATACAGGATCTCAATGCTGGGATTCCATCTCTAGCTCTGCCCCCTCTGATGTGTGCATTCTCTTAAATAGATTTAATCTGGATGGCTTCTGTGGAATGGGGATTAATTCCTGCTTTACACAATTTTACCAGTCATATAAAACCTCAAAACAAGTTGTAAAAAGTGTTTTAATCGTTACCAAAAACCTAACTAGGAAATTACCACTATTTTCCATTAGAGTTCACATCACCCTCTGAGATAAAAATAAAAGTTAGCAAACCCGCTTACAACGTCATTGTGGTCACCCCACAGTCCCTCTAGTGTCTGTGAAATTCCTTAGGTAGCCACACTGATCAGGAATTTGGTTCCAACTCTTGAAGCTCTCTGACTAATTTTAAAGTTATTTGATGGAAAATTAGGCTTTGCGAGTAAATTTGAGGCATATGCAAATAATCTGTGGCAAATGCCTTACCTTTTCTGTTATAACAGGCAGAAAAGCACATCTATGAAATTGTATTGTCTGAAACTGAAACATTCAAGTTTTTCATTCATCCAGGAACACTATGTAAAACATTATCTATATTGATACCATTTTTAATACTCCTGGAGTTGATAGTCAAAAATAAAAAAGAGTTAAGAAAAGATTCCGAGTCACAAAGGGTTCATAATGTGTTAAGAACTTTAATTTACTTTGCTTGACATCTTAGGATTCAGCTTTTTAGCCTGAGAATTATATCAGTTGAATGTTGGGAATAAATTTATTAAAAATAATACATTTAAGGATGATCAAATTTCCTTATTTAAAATATGAATTAGTCTTTATGGCCTACAGGATTTGTACAGTATTAGACCAGAAGGTGGTTGGATCAGGTTATCTACAACAGTTCCCCTCCCAACCTTGAGATGTAATGGTTTTTATGGATGATTCAAAACTCTATTTGCCACTGAAGTATTAAGAGCTTATACCTCCTCACCACTCATTCAGTAATGACTCCTCAGGACCTTGGGTATAATCCATGTCTAAGGGGCACAGCACAGCTAAACATGTGAGACATTAATTCCAACTTCTTGAATAAAAGACAGCAACTGACGAAGCTAACAGGTTCCTCTCCATATCACGTATTTACCCACAGTGGAAATTTTGTACATTGTTAAACCCTAACGAAAGTTTTTTCAAGAAAGATTCAAGGTAGTAGATGCTAGTCTGAATAAAGTATCATTGGGATATCTATAAATTCTGCATGCTGCTGTTGCAGCCATGAGGTAACCACAGGGGAAACAACCTTAGGATGAAACCACCTTGGAGGATGGCAGAGTGAAGATAAATAAGAGTAATATATCTTAGACCCTGACAAATCATTAATCACCTCTTGAGGCTTGTTGTGTCTGGAGTTCTTGTTTTACAAGATAATGAATTTCTCTATTTTACTTAACAAACAAAAAAACCCAAATTCAACGATTCTATTAAATTTAGTATGTCTTTCTCTAAGTGTATATTTAAACACCTCTAGATTCTCAAGATCAGCACTGTCCCATGGACTTTACTGCAGAGATGGAGACATTCTGTACATAGCTCCACGATCCAATTCGCTAGCCATTAGTAGCATGTGGTTATTAAGCGCTTGAAATGTGGTTCACCTGACTGAGCAACTGAATTTCAAATTTCAGTTAATTGTAACTAATTTAAATTTAAATAACTACAAGTGGCTGATGGCTATCATATAGCACAGAGCAGCTCTACAGTAAAAAGCCTCCAAGCAGTAGATCTCAGACTTGTCTGGTAGATTAAGCTAGTTATTTCTACTGGCCACCTTGCCTACATCTCCAACGGAGCATCCTTTCACTGAAATTGGACTGCACTTCCTTTGCTCATGAGAATAAAATAAAATCTGCTGTAATAGCTCCTAAACACTTTATTGTCACTCATGTCAATATGTACCATTTCAAGCTTTCCTCCTCTCTTGCTAATTTCATAAATTCAAACAAATGAAACATATTTTCATTCAATTAAGTACTTCCACCCTCAAGTTCTCACCCAGAAACCAGTTTTACCATACAGGTTACAGTCAAGATTAATAAATGACCATCACCCACTTTAACTGTCCATGGTATAACATGTGAAGAAAATAACATAACTCATGGCCTCTATGCTTTACAGCTCAAATTTTTTCTAGTTCTCATACTGCCAGGATAGCTTAACAAAATTTCATTATTGCTTCATCTCTTTCTCACCATGCTGAAAGTCTCCAGCAGTGTCAATTATAATATTTTTCAATACCCCAAATACTGTATCTAGTAAAGGGTCATATACAGTTATCAGTAAATATTAAGTGGAATATTAAAGCATTCTCTAAACTTTTTATATCAAACTATAAGAGCTGGTATTACCAAAACCAAAGCAAGAACGCTTGGGCCTCTGAGATAATATGCTAGGCTTCATGTAGGTTTCTAGTGACTATATATTGAACAACTGGATATTCCCTTCCAAATTACATGAATGCTTTAAATAAAACAAGATGAAAGAAAAAAACTACTATTAAATAAAGTTGAGAAAAATCCATCATTAAAGACCACTTACTAGACTGGCTCACCTAGAGGGCACCCAGTTAATTTTTTAAGTGACAACTATAAAAGTACTTGGCAATATTAAAGTAAAATACTCTTACCATCATGTTTAAGAATCATTTGTATTACATTCCCAAAAAATAACTCATTCAGATTTTAGTAATGTAATATGTAAAGGGTAAAATATAAATAGAAAAGTTGAACAGACAATTTTCACGGCTAATTGAAAAAATTAAGTATGATGTGATTATTTCAAACTATAATTCATATTTTTACTCATACTTGGCAAGATAAGTGTTTGTTTTAAAAATTAGTAGAAAATAAAGCCCACAGGAAGTGACAATTAAGAGGTAAATGTGCGGTTTAGCTTCACATTAGTTATTTAGGCATATGTTTTGGGGGTTTTTTTTTCATGTTTGCCACTTTCAAAAAACAATCAATAAAAGGCATGTGAAAATATCTAAATGAACACAGGGGAAATAGTGTCAGAAATCAATACTTCTCTACCAGCATGTTTAACCTGCTGAAATGAAGTGTTAATCACAGAAATAAGATACCATATTACATTTATAAACTAATGAAACTAGAAAAAGCAAAGCGTGTGACACTATAATTAAACAGCTGGAAGACATCCAAGCCTGTGTAAGTTGATAACCCTGGTACAATCTCTGGCAATGAAAAGGCAGGTCTGCAGTGAGTTGATATGGCCAGCTCAGTTGTTAATTGAATAACAGGCAATCTATAAACACTACTAATTGCCTATGTGAAAACCTGTGTACAAGTAGAGAAGCTGCCTAAAGAAGTACTCCAGGAAAAACTACATGGATAAAGCACTCAGCAAATCTTCTGTCTCTCTCAATCCTGTTAAGTCATAGCTTAGTTTTGTCACTGCATCCTTCTGATTAACCTCTACACAGCAGACTTAATGATACATTTTTCAAAAGATCATTTTTCTTCCTAACTCAATATGAAACGCAGAACTATCAATTACCCATTTCAGAAAAGAACAAACAAGTAATCTAGAAAATTCAGCCTGTGAATGGAAAGCTTTCTAAATTGTAAAAGAAGACATGGTCTTATTCCCAACAGGCAAAATGCTTTTCAGAATTGTTCCGACGCATTTTGCAGAAGTGTGGCAGCTGCTGTGAATAGCATGGAGTGTTAAGATTTGACACTTTTTTTTCTTAAGGATATAGCCATTTGGGGAGGCTCAGAAACTGTTGTTGGAATTTTACTTACCCATTTAATAAATCCTTTTAGAATGATTATTTCAACCCTGGTGAATGTAAAACACTTCAAAACTATTGCTCTAGGATCTAAATGAAATTTTATTTTTTAAATCTGTAAAGAAGACTGGCCCAAGGGATTAGTTATGAGACAGGAAACCTCCTCTAGTTTAACATTCAAATTCAAATAAGGTCAGTGCAGAGCAAAGGTCATTGTCATGCTAAAGGTATCTAGCAGCTTCCATGAAATGAATTGATAAGCTTACCACTCCCTAGTGCACATAGTATCCCATCAGGAAACCCAGAACGAACAATCAGAGTACTGCACAATATTTAGAAGCACAAGTATTAGAACCAGACTTACTTATACTCAAATTATGGCTCCAATACTAACTAGCTATAGGCAAAAAGCTTAGGCTGGGCGCGGTGGCTCACACCTGTAATCCCAGCACTTTGGGAGGCCAAGGCGGGTGGATCACGAGGTCAGGAGTTCGAGACCAGCCTGACCAACATGGTGAAACACAGTCTGTACTAAAAATACAAAAATTAGCCGGGTGTGGTGGCGTGTGCCTGTAATCCCAGCTACTCAGGAGGCTGAGGCAGGAGAATTGCTTCAACCCAGGAGGCGGAAGTTGCAGTGAGCCGAGATCACACCACTGCATACCAGCCTGAGCTACAAAGTGAGAATCCATCTCAAAAAAAAAAAAAAAAAAAAAAAAAGCTTAATGTCACTGGGCCTCAGTTTCTTCAACTAGAAAGTGGGACTTATTAAATAAATCTCATAAGGTTGTTAAGGAGGAATCAAAGATCTAACAGGTAATATGCTTGCTTAGCAGTGTCTCACATAAGAAGTGCTCAATAATAGGAAGTTTTTAAAAATGAGGCATATAACTATAAATATTAAAATATGTTTAACAGTAGCATGTAATTGAATAACTGAATGGTGGCTAAAGCTGAGCTTCTCTTTCACATTTCATCAGCCTAGAAGAGAATAGTGGCTTTCACCAAAATTCCTTGAGAAAAAATATGGATTTGACTGGCCTCATTTTAAGATATAGACAAACTTCAGCTAACTGATACTCTTTACTAAGATCAAGCATAATTCCTCAAATATGAATATTTCAGTCAATTAGAAATAAGAATGAAAAGAAGCTATAAAGAATCACTGTTAACTATTTTTTGAAGAGTAAGTTTATAAGTAGAAAAGTTGTGACAGGTGCCGCACACAGGGAAATCAATAAAGTCTAGGAAAGGGCTGTCATTTCTGCTTTTTACCCTGGAGGACTCTTAATCTCAAGATGTCCCCAGATCACCAGGAGGAAGACCTGGTTTGCAATGTTTAGATATTAATTTCAAACACTCTTATCAAACATCAGAATTAACAATAACTATTTGTTAGTTTCACCAATTCGCTGACTACAAAATGGTATGTTAATTGAAAAGACTTTTATGGACCAACCAGGTATGCCAAGTCTTCCATGTATTTATAGGTAGAACATAAGTGATCCAGTCTCCGTTAAAGCCCCACGCTCACTTCACGGGTAGAGATCCCCACCCACAATATGGGCACGGCAGCCTTCTGGAACCCACACCTGCTTCCAGCACATCCAGCTTCTTAGCAGGATAAGGAGTTACATTTCTCATCCTCGCTGCATTTGAACTTTAAGATTTTGGAAACTGTCAACATTGAGTTCTCTGCTCTTGAATTAATTTTATATCTTGCTCCAACAATCTAAACTTCCTGATCTTCAGGCCCAGATATAAACCCACTTTCAACAAATATTATATACAGATAAATTACAAATGAAGGAAGATTCATTAACAATAATGAATATGTTAAAATATAATCATAATCCAATGTTGAAGCTCCTCCTAGAACACAAAATGAAAAAAAAGTACCAAGCTAAAATTGTAATGCAGTTTCAGTATTTAAACATGGATGTTAAACAAGTCAAACTATTTTTCAAATACCATGTATGAGTGTGTATGTGTGTGAGTATAAACCTTAACCACACATGGATTTCAATGATATGTATTTAGTATCTTTTATACTATTATTGTAGATATCCAAAGAGACTCTTAAGAATGAAATTACATCCATTACTTTAGATTAAAAGCAATTAATACTATACAATATGGATTAGTCAATTAAACTAGGAGTCACCTGAACCATTTTTGAAGCAGTTTTGAAGCATTTTGTTTACAAATGTGATCACATAACCAAAAAAAAATCCTTTGGGGAAAAAGGATACACAGATGCTAGTGAGTTGCATTCAGACTAACATAGTGCTTTTCCATGTCCTTCACTGACATCAACATTATAAGATTTCTGATATAAATATATGAAGATTATTTTTAATCGTAAACTTGTATACTTTAATATAGATTTTCAAATGGCTACCATATCAAAAACCATGAATCCATAACTAACTTATTTTAATTCAAAACAATCATGAGTAGCATACAAATAAGATAATCAAGATTTGTAGCTAAACACAAATAAAGAATCTTTACCCTCAAGGAGCTTCAAGTGAGAATACATCTTGGACTATTACCTATAATATAATGTTGTGATATACAAACGATATGACCAACATCCCACAGGAATACAAAGAATAGGTGGTTTCTCCAGTATAAAAATTTTGCCAAGATGAAGAGTTGGGGAAAAGGGTGTCCCAGAGCAAGGCTTCAACCTAAATTAGACACGAAGATTCAACATAATAAGACATGAAACCTAATAAAACAATATTCACCCTAATAAGACATGATTAGACCACAGAATGCAGGGATGGGGAGTAGTTGAATATAAACATGCAAAGACAAGTTGTAAAAAGCCTTATGTTTCGGCCAGGCACGGTGGCTCACTCCTGTAATCCCAGCACTTTGGGAGGCCGAGGCCGGTGGATCATGAGGTCAGGAGTTTGAGACCAACCTGGCCAACATAGTGAAACACTGTCTCTACTTAAAAAAAAAAAAAAAAAAAAAAAAAAAAAAAGTTAGCTGGGCGTGGTGGTGGGCACCTGTAATCCCAGCTACTTGGGAGGCTGAGGCAGGAGAATCACTTGAACCTGGGAGGCAGAGATTGCAGTGAGCTGAGATCACACCATTGCACTCCAGCTTGGGTGACAGAGTGAGACTCCATCTCAAACAAAACAAAACAAAACAAAAAGCTTTATGTTTCATGCAAGAGAATTTAGCATTTTTCCTAAAGTCAATGAGAAGATATCTAAAGTGTATATTTGTGCAGAAAAGTGATGATCAGAATTGTGTTTTAGAAAGAAAATTCTGGTAGAAGGATTAGACTGGAGAGGGATAGAGACCTGACCTAAAGAGGCCATTGTGGGGCCAATGCAACTGTTCAAGTGAGAAATGGCACAGATGTGAACCAGGGCAATGAAGTGGCTGATGGACCTGCCTGGTATTCAGAATAAGCATAGATAGGCATTAGACTGGATATGGAAAGAGAAAGGATACCAAAAATAAGCACACCATTTCTAATTTGAGTGACTAGATGCATGGTGAGACTCAACTGAGAGAGGAAATATAGAAGCACAATGTTGGGGAACTTCTGAGACTGGCCTGAATGAAAAAAACAAAAAACTATATAAATCACCAAGGAAAATGCTCTGACAGTCAAGTTGAAATGCCCCAGTAAGAATAGGAAGGAAGTAAACTTTGGCTTTTTCCATTAAAATAAGTAACTTATCCTTCTTTGCTAAGCCCACTGGTCAACATTATACTTTCCATGTAGTAACAGACTATTAAGCATCTTACAAATACAGTTCCAGCCTCTCGTTTATTTGCTTAATTATTTCCTATTGATATCCTGCATCTGTAAATTAGACATTCCTAAGCTGCAGAAATTAAACTGTGATGTACACATTTCATCGTTTTCTGGAAGCACATGAGTGTTCAGAGCTAGAGGGGCTACTCTGATCTTGCCATTAGGAATTATCAGAAGAGGACTGCATAAGTTTCATGTGGGTATAGAAAGTAGAGGAGAAAAGGCAATTTCTCCCCATTATGTTAAAATTTGGCCCTCATAAATGTTCTAAGAGGCACAAGAGGACAAGTGTGAAGATGAGTCAGACTGGAGACATAGCATTTATCCAGTGAGAGCTGGAATGGCTTGGGAGATATGGACACAGAGAGACAAACTTAAAGGAATGCTTAGTTACCTTCAACATCACAACTCAGGTAATTACGCACTTCATTCAAAATGAAGTTGATATCTTCTTCTGAAGGAATTGGATGGTGTGTAACATCAGTTGGAGTATCAGTAGTGCCAGCGATCGTCATCTTTTGCCAGGGTAAGAAGAAAATAACTCGCCCATCACTGGTCGCTGGGTCAAGAAGTCCCATGCTCTCTGGGCTGAGATACAAAGAAGGATTATTTATTTCTGAAAATCCCAGAAGTTTAACATTAATCTGCATTCGAAAAACTATTTATTCATTAATTCTCAAATATGCAAACAAGAAAGATATGAACTATTACTTGCACTTCCCCTACCCTAATCTAGAAACTCCTAAAAGAAAAAAATAACTTAGATAACAAAACAGAATGAAACAAATGTGATGATAACAATATTCCACAGCAGAGCTACCCCTTCCCTCCCCACTTCAACAATGCAAGGCTAATTAAGAAAGTGGGCTTCAACTTCCTACTGTTTGAGTTTCATACTCCTTGGACCATTCACATCAGATAATGTCAGCAGGATAAATGTCTATACTTTCCTTTATAATGGTAAATTAAGGATATGTCTTCAGCCTTTTTTCAAGAATAGCCAAAGTATTTTCCTGAGACATTTGACATTTCATCGCTCAGTAGAAATTCTCAGGAGTACATAAGAAAGTGAAGGGTCTACCTTTCTAGAAACTAAAATGTAATCACAAAGTTCTTTACTACTTTATGCCTAGATGAACTTGTGCCACTTCACCAAATATGAGATTTCCTACTTTATTTCGAGGTTACAAAAATCTCAAAATGTACATCTAGAAGAAAAGAGCTCCATGTTTTACTACTCCCTAAATAGTAATGTCCTAGGATAAGGTCAAACAGGAGAGGAACACTTTAGCAATGAAAATCTTTTACATAAAAGACACTAGTAGTGTACTATGTTAAATCAAGGTACAATGCTGCCTCTACTGAAAGACTACATAAAATCTCCCAAAACGATAGTCAAAAATATTTACTGATATTTACTATTCTAAAATCAAATAATAAAACATATTTGAAAGAAGAGACAACTGTAAACAAACATTAACAAAACCCATCATTTTGTTTTTAAATCACTAAAAGCTGATGTTTTATTTCATTCCTTAGCCATTCAAAGAAATTTGGAGATGTTGTTAAAAGAGTGAGAGGAATCTTAAAGTGTCCTATTCAAGTAGAACACTACAAATCTTCAGATAGCTGCTTCTATTTGACTGGATTCTTGTATCAAGCCAGTGTTACTAGTATTTTCTATAAATATGTTTTTAGCTTCTATTAATGTTATTTTTTAATATGGAAACGTAATTCTATTTGGTTTGAACAAATTTCAAGAAACTCCTCTTACACAAAAATTTAAAAAGACACACAGTCAGATTTTTATCTTTATCATCATTCCCTTAACATGTTTTAAAAAATGATTTATCCCAATGTGTAAAAATGAGAGGGTAACAACTGTGTAAAAAATAATGATAATATTTTATATAAAAAAAGAAACATATAGGCAGCTTAACTAATGTATCTTCTTTATTTAAACCACAAGGAGTGAGTCTTTCTCTTCAAAAAACCCTCAGCCGCATGAAACGCTTGCCATGTCTACTCAGCCTTAGCAGAAAGAAGTCACTGTTCACAGCCTATCTGAGACACATCGGAGAGAGTAGGTAGAAGTTCTTCTACTTAGCTAATCCAAAAAGCACCCTGGAAGTCTGCAATCATTTAAACCTCAGCTCAGAGTCCCACCTTCACTCAGGGTTACTTAGAGAAAATAATTTTACTTTTACTCTAATGTATTGAAAACTACAAATAACAAGTATTTTTGTTCTCTAAATATGATTATTTTTTCTTTGTATTTATCATAAAACTATCTAAAAATCTCAGAAGAAACTAGTCACATGTTTTCTAAGTATATTTTTTGATCCTGGATTGATATGTCCTTAGATTACATCAGTCACTTTGAGATTAGAAATGAGATTAGAACACTCAGAGTTCATTCTATTTGATAAACAGAAGTATATTGAAACAAAAAAATTCTATATTCTAACAATTGATAAACGAATTATATGCTGACATGTTTTATATGACTATATCAAGGACTAGACATCATATGATGTGTCTAAAATAATAAACATGATAAATTTAATCATAAAATTATAATATTCATCAACCTAAAAAGGAAATACCATTAGAAATGCACAACTACTGAATCTTTTAAAAACTTGCAATGCAATAAAGTAGTTTAAAAGGTGAACATGATGGTTACCAACACACATGTAACTGGAACCTGTAGAGAATCAACTGCTTAAGTGAAGACATATGTGACAAACATAAAATTAACAAGCACAGAGGGAAGACAAAGCTATTAACGAATGGTATAAAAATTTAAGAATCCACTTGGAAATATCTTTCATCAGTTCTAAATTACCTAATTCATATTTTCCCTTCGGGAAAAGTCTGTTTTCTCATGAAGGATCAATTTTGCAAGTTCACACTAAAGTTTGAGAATGGATATCAACTATAGCGATAGTATACGCAATGCAACAAGGCATAGGTCTTTTTTCAATATATATGATTCATTTGACATCAGGAGGAAAAGCTTGCTGCTAATTTATGTGTGTGTCTAGGATTAAATGTAATGAATATTTTTCTCATGCAGACCATCACTTTCCTGAAGTGCCCTTAGTTAAACTGAAATCAATTTATTGTTAACTACTTAGCAATCAGTGTTAGAGCTAACAGTATGTACACACATTATAGGAAAAAAATTGACCTCTTGTCAGTAGTAAAAAGCACCAGTAGGCTAAACAGAGATGATTATTTTCATGTATTTCAGTCGTTTGGTGTATTATCATTGCTTTTGGAAGAGCATCTACCCATAACTCTCATGGAAATTCCAGATTTGTTCTTAATATAAAGAGCAGCTTTAAAAATAATTTCTGTGTTGTGTTTTCCGAAATTAAAACAATTTTTCCTTCTTCCCCTCTTCCCCTAAAAAGCTGCTATCATGGTGTAAGATAATTCCACAACTGGAACATTAGTTAAAGTTACAACAAAATTAACAAATGCTGTAAAGATACTTCTGAAAACAGCCCAAGAAGATACACTGCACATATGGTTCCTTACTCTTCCTTTACCAGCCTACACACAATAAATCAATGCTTGCTGAACTCACTGCATTTCCAAATGGATCAGGTTCTAACTGAAACATGCCTGGTTTTAAATTATCATTAGCCAGTTGTGGGGCAGCCCCAGAAGCTTTGGTTCATCCCTGAAGACCTAGTCAAAACTGTTGAGTGACAGCTGCTAAGTATGATTGACTGATGATACCACAGAGTCATTTCAGTTTGGGATCTCCTAATATCACCCAAGAGAATGACTTGATAGGAAGAGGAAAACCACCCCTATGGGATGCCAGAAGTACAGTTGCCTCAAGGTCAGTCCTGAATGAGGGAATGAACCCTTAATCTAGGTCACAATCCAAAGAGAAGGGGCTCATCTGCAAGAGAGCCTGAATGGGAACTAGGCTGCAGACCATTCCTTCAAAGCTTCCAACAGGATGTGTAGTGGTTATAGCTCACAGTGCCAAAAATGGGGATATTAATTTCTCCCAACATAGAATGAGGTCACTTACTGCATCTTAGCCTGAGACAGACCTAGCTGTAACTAACACCTTCATGCTTCAGGAGACCTAAAGCTAATGCTGAATTTTTAGGATTCAGAATTTTTAAAATATTACTTCTGGGTAATATATACCTTTATTCTTAAAAGACACCAAATCTACTCTGTTACTAAGTGTATAAAGCATAATATAGAACAATATATGCAACATGACCACTTTCACACAAAATTTTTAACAGAATACACATTTGTGCTTGTAAAAACATGATTTTAAGGAAGGAATTGGAAGAAGAGGTTATTAATTACCAGAGAAGAACTGGGGGAGGGAACAAAAGGTAGGGGGAATAAGAGTCAGGCTTTCAATTTTCATTTTCATATTTCTATTTTTTTCTATGATGATTGAAATTTCTAGTTATGTACTTACATTATTTATTTATTTTTGTCTACAGGGGTTAGCTGGGCAGTAAGTTGAAGAATCATGTTTTATTTTCATAGTTTGAATTCTCTATATTAAAAAATCTCATAAATGTTACATTAAAGTTTTAATATAAATAAAGGAACAATCTCAATATAAGCAAGTTAACATAAAAAATTTAGGAGGATTCATTCAAAAAATATTTACTGGGCACTAATACGTGCCAGACACCGTACCAATAGCTGGGGATACAGCACTCTATAAAACAGAGAAAAAATAATCCAAGGATCATTGTCAAACCTTATACCAGTTAGGTATTATCAGTACATAAGGGGCCGGGCACAGTGGCTCACGTCTGTAATCCCAGCACTTTGGGAGGCGAGGCGGGCAGATCACTTGAGGCCAGGAGTTTGATACCAGCCTGGCCAACATGGTGAAACCCTGTCTCTACTAAAAATATGAAAATTAGCTGGGTGTGGTGGCGGGCGAGCTACTCGGGAGGCTGAGGCAGGAGAATCACTTGAACTCAGGAGGTGGAGGTTGCAGTGGGCCAAGATGGCACCACTGCACTCCAGCCTAGGTGACACAGCAAAACCTCATCTCAAAAAAAAAAAAAAAAAAAAAAAGATATAAGGAACCAGAAGCTGAAAGAAGTAGCTTGCCCAGGCCACACAGCCCAAGGAAAAGTGATGAACAAACCCCAGAAGTCCTATAGCAAGGTATCACTTTAATTCTGCGAACAATCTCTTTGTCTCTAAACTCTGAAGGAGCAGAATGTTTGCCCATTTTAATGAACGGAAAACTAAGGTTCACAAAATAAAATGGCTTGTCCCAAATTATTTAATTATTTAATGACAGAATTAACATAAGGTCTGTGGGGAATAATCTCTGTCTTCTGACATCATGGGATGATAGTGAAGAAAACATAAGGCACACAACACATGAGAATATGTTGAATCTAGTAAAAGCTAAACAAATATAAGATGTATGATGATTACATCTACACTCCATTCTTAGAGATACTTAAAAACAAACAAACAAAAACTCATAAACTAGCTGGCCTTAGATATTTTTAATCGAACACAAAAGCGTATACAATTGCATCTGGAACTAATGTTGAAAACTTCTCTATATACGAGAAACATATGGGACATTTTCATATATTTATTTCTCTCCTTTTCATTTGAACTAAGCTTCTGGTCAACAGTTTTAAAAACTCAATTAGGTACCACTGCATACATTTCTATTATCTTATGCAGTGGTGCCTTAAGAGGCACCTTGATGTCTCCAGTCCAAAGTAAAAATCCTAAAGACTATTATTTCTCTCACATACGCATTTTGAAAACGCAAAGGAAACCTTGGAAGTTGGTGGATAAGAAATTCTCTTTAATGATTTTCTCAGAAGTGTATCTGGTACCAATTAGGTGCATCTTAGACTCTTCAGGAAGATTTAGTTACCGGACAACCAACAACTAAAAAGGCAGCATGATCTATAGCATAGCAGGATAGCATTCTAGGAGAATGGAAGTATTAAACAAAATATCATAGGTTCTACACATCCACTTTATCAAATATTAAAAGCTGTATATTCCCTTTATGGAAAATTATTAAAACATGGAAAGAAATAACTCTCACCCATAATCATATTACCTAGAAATAATCACCATTCACATTTAACATATTTCCTTCCAGTCTTTTTCTATATACATTGTTAGAACCTACAGCACATAAAATATCAAGTCCTATACTCTAAATTGACATTATATCATTAGTGTTTTCCTAGGGCATTAAAAGTATTTATAATTATAATTCTTAATGACTATATAATATGCCCTTGTGTGGTTATGCCATAATTTATTTATCTATTACCCTAAGGTGAGGAACTGAAGTAGCTTCTAATATTTCTCAACTACAAACAATGCCATAATGAATACTGTTGCACATAAGTCATTATTTCATATAGAATTACTACTTTGCCTACTAGGTTTACCACATATGGAAATAAAAACAGTACACATGCTCTACACCCTTAGCATGGCCATACGAATTTCTTCTATAAATACCTTAAAATGTACGTTATGGGTAATTATTTTTTAGCCAGAACCACACAAATGTTTCTTTTGTAATTTATTAAAAATTTCAAACATATATAAAAAGAGTTTAATGACGCTCCATGTACCCATCACCCAGCTTAAATGATTTTCATTTAATAGCTATTCTTATTTTATCTCTACTCCTGCCCATTTCTTCATCCTCAATTATCTTTGTTAATTTGATAGATTAGATATATCTGGTTTTTGCTTGCTACAATATTTTTTTTAATCTATTTCAAAAGTTATAAACCTAAGAATACTTGGGTAGCCCACATCTTCAGATTCTTCATAAGCAAATTTGGGTATTCTGCAAAATTCATGTCTTATTGTTTTAACTAAAATACGTCCTTTATAAAAAATTTTGCAAAATTAATTTTGCTAATGACTTAAGTAAAAGTTTAATTCAAAAATACCAATGCTTAGTCTCTGAAGGTGACTACACTGAACAAAGAAAAATAGATCCCAAAGCATTAACCCTTAGAAACGAGTATTGCCATAAGTGGCTAAAACTTCCCAAGTCTGGTTTGTATTTTGTGTTTTGGAAGAGTTCCTTTACTTATTTCTCCTGATTTTGAACAGCAAGTTAGACCATCTATTGCTATGCTAGAAGAAGAAATAAACCAGACAATCTCTGCTGACCCTCTTTTTTGGGTGACAACTGCCACATTGGAAGACAATTACCTGTAATAACCAGGCATCACAATATGGACACCAGCACTTGGCTGGCAGATAGCTGCTGCGTCTTTATCATCCATTTTGCGCACAGAGTCCGTGAAAGGTCCCGTGGCATTGATAACACATTTGGCTCTCACGTCAAATTCCTGCCCTGTGAAAGAAAGTGGCATCAATCACACACCTCATTTGTTTCTCTGTTAACGGATGCTGTGTATTACTAATTCATCTATTAACTTAACCCATGGTGAAGTATACTGCATACCACACTAAGTGACCTGAGCAGCTCAAGTTATTGAAGAGCCAAACAAAAGGCTCTCATCTGAGTGAATTTACCAAAAACAAGTCGGAATTGAAGAAAGAAAAGCATTCCACTTTCTCATTATGGATTCTGTCGATCTTATAAGTGCCCAGCGTCAAAGCACCAAACATGAAAAAGTAGAATGAGTAAATAAGCCGCTTTCTCCTGAAAACTCAAATGTGTGAGCAGCACTGCTGTGAGAAAATGTATATCATAGAGCTTTTGTTCAAGAAACGATATAATTTGGAAACTGCCTACTTATATGGCGCTAGAGCCAGGGCAATAATGAAAATCTAAATAAAGTTAAAGATTCACTTTAACAACGTGTAACAATGCCTGTGTCACCCAAATGATACTTTGAAACTTGGCACATTTATTTAATTTTATTAATAACATGTTTTTGTAAAGAAAAAGGAATCCATTCATAGCTGTGGGAATTTGGTGGGCATTTTATTATTATCATTATCATTATTACAACTATAATACAAAGGGGAAAAATTGCCAAGTCCTACAAGGGAAATTTTCACGTTAAACCAGTCATTGCTGACAATAACGAATATAATTAATATGACTCTGAAGCGTGGCATAAATGAAAGAGAAGTGACAGAAAAATTATAATTCAGTCATTATATAAGCTAGGCAAGATACTAAGAAATACCTCCCTCCCAGATACCTGGCATACCTGTGAGGACATCCTTGCACCGTGCGCCGCTCACACGCACTTTCCCTGTCTGGGGGTCTGTCTTCTTGAGCAAGCTCACTACCTCCATGTAATTGGCTGTGGCAGCCCCATACCTGGCAGCAGTCAGAGCAATGGCAAGGTTCATCCGTGCATCGTTATGTTGTCCTGCAGCGGGGAAAGCATCAGGGGAGGGAGAGGAGTCACCTCGAGCCACAGACTGGTGGTACAAAAGTGTGTCACAACAGATATGTCACATCTGTCCCTGTCACCCAGGATATGCATGATGGCTGGGCAGCTTGACAGGGCACAATTTAAAATACACGGTCATTCTCAGCCAGGCATCTACCTGCCGCTTCAGCAAGTGCATTTCGTGTACCATAAAAATAGTGAAAATATCCCTTTCCTACAGAGCTGACATCAATTATCTGAAAGTTAAGAAATAAGTAATTATTCTCTCAGTGTTGGAACATATGTATATGTCAGGCTTTTCCTAATACAGACAAATCGTAAGCATGAAAGTGAAGCAATTCAAAACTTTAGAATATTTGACACCCCAACTGGTGTTGATGAACAATTTTTATGAGTATTTTTATGTGTATGTGCTCTATCTAATATTCAAAATCAAGAGCTTTATCTTCCATAGAGCATTTCTCAGTATTCTGTAAAAGGATTTTTCTTGGTTTGAATTTTGATCAGGGCTTCTTAAAATGTAACTTTTTTTTAATCACACATAAAAGGTAAGAAATTAAGCAGGGCAAAATTTAATTACAGAACAATTCCTACCTGTATTGTTAAAGATTTATTGCTGAAAAATCCTAGTTAAAGAAAACTAAGGGGGAGGAGAAGGGGGGAAAGATGATTAAGCACTTTAAAATACTGGCATCACTAGAGACTTTTTCTATTTATTATTGCCAGTGGAGTTAACGCTGACCAGGAAGAATTACTCTACATTGCAGGGGCCAGGTTCTCTGTGCCCTGAATAATTAATTATCCAGGGCTAGATGTATTGAAGCAGGGTTCAAATTCCCACACATTGGGATCAGTTCTATCAAGATAATACTGATAAAGGGATGAATTTGTAATGGATATTGTTGTTGATTTATGTTGCCAGCATACCAAACATTTAGTATAAATGGTTTATGCAAAGTTTCTTCCTTGTGATTCAGTCTGTGCAGGGCTAGCAGCACTACAGAAGTAATCTGTTCCAGCTAAAAGGGCAAAGTTATAAAGAGAGAATCAATGACTGAAGATTCTGCTGCCCCTCCCCACAAACGTCTTATTCTAAAACCACTGAACTAATATAATCGGCTAAGAACCGTCCCCCCAAAATTAAATGCTCTATCAAGTGGAGAACTTATGTTAAACCTCAACATGCAAAATAAGGAGTTATTTTATCTAACAATTAATAGAATGAAAGTAGAAGAAAAAAACAATGACAATAGCAGTAGTTGAGCTATAAGTGGGAAGGGTAGCGGTTCCATAGTTTCAACTCAGCATGATCCTAAGGTTGCTTAAAATCATATTTGAAGTTAAGCTGAAGAAATCAATTTTTATTAATGTAGGGTTCCTTGCTTAAAATTGGAATACATTTTATAAAACTAAATGCATGAAAACAGTCCAAAGAAACTAAATAAAATTTCCATTATAGATCTTCTCCTTAAATTAAGAAAATAACACAGTACCCATCCGACCCAATCTTTCTGGTTGATTTATATATCTAACAAGGAAACACCCTGCCCCACAAAGGCACATATCTGGTAGTACAAGAAATCCAAGTCATGCTTGCTCTTACCATAGGCTTAGAGAAACGCTCACCCATCCAGGTGTGCCTTGAAGCCTCTGGAAAGCCATGTGTAAATGAAATATTTTAAATCCTAAATGAAGCCACTATTTAAAGGAACCAGGCAGAAATTCCATTTATGAAATGATAGTTCCTTTAGAAAACAGTTATACATTCATCTGACTCTAAGGTGACTTTAAAAAGATAAAATTTTCTTTTAATATGTGTTTAAAATATAAAATCTCATTGGAGCAGTATAGGTTATAGTTCTTCAAGCTCTGTAGCTTCCATACTAACAAATGTTCCCTAATTAGCATCTAAATCTGAATATGACTGCAGGTAAGCAAGCTTAACTTCAGTTTAAAATGTGAGGTGGAAACAAGTTCCTATGGTCCTTGTTTTTCTATGTCCACTCCCCAGTTCCCAGCAGCAGCTGTCTTGACTCAAATCTGAGATGTCACTTACACAAAAAGGCCATTCATGATATGATCCTCGTCTGCCATGGTTCATACTACCTAGAATTGTGAAATTATTTGTAGCTCCCTGAACATTCATGTCATTTCCCACCTTGCCTTTACACACACTTATTCTTCTGGCTGGATACCATCCTGGAAGTTCTGAGAAACCTCTCTTCATCTCTCATGATCGAGTTCAAATGTCTAGTTCTGCATCTCCTGGAGGGATGCAGAAAGTCTCCCTTTATCTGCATCCTTCCAGGGCAAAATTATTCACTGCTTCCTCTGGGTCAACATTTTATCTTGTATACACCTTTTTAAATAGTCTTTATGATACTAGAATCATCCATGTGTCCATCTACTTACAAAAATGAAAATCCTTTGTTATGAATCAGGCACTGTGACAAATGCACGGAATATAACTGAGAAAGACACAGGGTGATCTCTACCTTCGTGAAACTTACATCCCACTGTAATTACTGTACAATTCCCACGTCTCAAGAGAAAACAGAAAGGCTTACTTGTTTGTCTTTGTTTTTTTTCTAGTTATTAGCAGGTACAGAATACGTTTCCAATTACTGTTAAGTTTAGCCTAATCTCATTCGCTGTGTTAAACAGGTATTGAAATTCTTACATTTCTAACTATGGGATGGAATACTTCCTCTTGTTAAAGAAATTTCAGACTTCAGTAAGTTGGTGGCAAGAAATGTGACAGAGACATAAATGTGTAAAATCTGAATTTAACCCCAAACTAGGCCCTATATTTATGTTAAATAAGTGGGAGGGAAGCAGAAATAGTTATGAGTGATTCCCTCGGGACTTATCCCAGAAGGTATCCCTTGCTTTGCAGGGAAATGCAAGCACAGGTATTATTAGCTCCCAAAACTTGAGGAGCAAGTAATCTGATGGTATCCCCGAGCCCTGGGCCTCACACCTCCACCCAGCAATCCTCGTCTTCCCAGACATTCAGCTTAATCCATTTACCTCCATGGATGCAGGGTAAACCTCCTCCTCCCCTACCCCTTACCCCTTACCCTGAGATACCCAGATGCTCACAGTATATGCTTCCTGAGATATACGTGATATATTTTCATTATTCCTAACTAATTTCCCCAACCCTCTTTCCTGACATTTTGAAAGGTAACTCTATGCCTCCTGTAATTTTTATTCTGGAGAAAAAAGTTTTTGACAACACTGCATGCCATTGGAATGTGATACAATAATCCCAAACCCCCACCTAATTGATCTGCTTATTAAGTTTAGATTTTCAAAGCTGTTTCCTTAGAGCCAGGCAACATTATACTGTTTTTCACTAATCACCGAATAGCTTTACATTGGCACTTACACAAGGACCCAGACGGGAACTGTGAAAATCTGTTTCCGACTCTGTTCTCTTTTGCACTTGAAATCTTGCATATGTGCACATACTGAGCCTACAACTCATAGGAGAGGAAGCACACAAGAGGTGGAACTATAACTGTTTTCTCTTGTTTAGAGAAACAAAATATAAAATCTACCCACCAAAAAGAATGAAGGTTGATGGTGGTAGAGAAAACTTTGTCTTAATCCTCAATGACCTTGCACAGAGCAGAATAAGAGATATTTTAAGTGAAAAATGCAGGACCACACATATTTTAGAATGTAACTGTCTAAAAGATAGGCCTCAAATATAAATATTTTGGAGACAGCAATACTGCTCTCCTCAGAGTCAAAGTTTGGCAACTATGTTAACATGCAAAATAGCTCAAAAAAAGAAAAATAATCACTGATGTATAGAGTATGAAGAATGAGTAAATATGAAAAAAACACAGGTATAAAACTACCTGGGATTTTCTTGTTTCTTCAGGTCTAAAACTCTTATTTATGTCAGTCTACATATAAGCTTCCTTTCAATATAGCATACTTTTAAATGGTATGCTTATCACAGACTTATTGATCTGATATCTACCTGCCAGTATAGAAACTCTATTTGTTAGAAAAAGTACTTCTCAATTAGAATAGCATCTGTCCATAATTTCATCAATTAAAAACTGCCACTGTTGAAATGTTGAGAATATTTCCTTCCATGTCCCTGTGTCCTGACCTGAGTCTTGAGCAATCACTTTGACTACTTCAAGAAAGGGGAAAAATGATGCTGGTAAGAAACAATACCTCCCTAAAGCTTTAATCTCATTTCTAACTAAATTTATTCCCCAGGCTTCATTGTCTCAGACTGAGAGTGTCACAGTGACCTCTCTGGCAGCTCCCCCTTAGAGGTCTAGCAAAGATAATTCAAAGCCTCACCTACCAAACTCAAGCTGATTTAATATAACCACTATATTCAAAATGTCCCTTTCTGATTGGAAATATTCAGGTAAAGGCAGGGCAAAACAGGGATGTGTGTGTGGTGTGTGTGTGTGAATGAGTGTGTGTAGGCATGCGTGTGTATGCTCATGTGTGTGCACATGCACACGTACTCACATGCATGCACATAAGGGGATTATTTTGCTTTAAGGTATGATGTGTAAACTTAAAAAGGAAAACTCAAAATAAGAACCCACTCTTCATGGTGAATTGTGATAACAAGGCAATTTTCAAACATAAACCATTTACAAAAGTGATTGTTTGTGTGAGGAGTGACGGGGTCAGGGAGGCATATGAGGCAGTTTAGGGAGAATGTATCTTAAAAGATATTGTGGAGAATGGCTCTGGGCTTAGAATGACTGAGTTGCAACTTTTGGTTGTGTCATTAACATGGCTGGGGGAATGTGGGTGATACACTGTGCTGCTTTGGGCTTCAGTGTCCTATAAAAGGAGATGAGCCGGGTACATCTGAAATTATACAATGCATGCAATAGCTAATTGTTAATAATTACCTATCCCTTTCAAGATCTCACTTCAACCTTTTCCCATTTCTGGTTTCTCTGACTTTCCCCCAGCCTATCAAAAAGAGACTGGGCATCAGTAAAGCTGAAAAGATAAGTGTTTCATCAAGGAAATCAGAAATCGTACGCTTCCGTTAGATCTATAAACTTTGATTTGATTAGCAGTATGGGCTATATAATATATTGCAAAAATTGTCCCAATCCTTCACCCCTCCCTGTAGCCATGCCCTTTGCCTTGAGTCCTCACAGTGCCCCACTCTAACTCTCAACTCACCCATGTGAAATTGTTTTGGCCAACGGAATGTTGGTAAATGTGACAGAAACAGAGGCTCAAAAGAACACTTGTATGTTTCTGCTTGTGCCCTTGTCCTCCACCAATGTCATTAAAAGGACATGCCCAGGTTAGCCTAATGGTACCAGGAGGAAGATGACAGCAAATGTTGAGTAGCCCCCTGAGCTAAAGCCATCCTACTTCAGCTGACAGACAGCCAACACCTCCACAGAGGAATGCAAGTTCAATGGAGAACAGAAAATCACCCAGCCCACCCAGACTATATCAGAAGAGCCACCTGATGAGCATTCCAATGCATGTACAATAAACCCTAATTATTTTTATGCCATTCACGTTTGTGGTTATCTGTATGAAGAATTACAGCAATAGATAACATATAGGCAATGTAGCCAATTTTCTACTAAAGTTAATCCCCATTTATAAACAGGATCTATCTTCAAAACTGTATGTTTGGAACTCAATTCTTTTTTCTATAGAAATACTATAAATAAAAGGTGATTTGTTTGTGCCACAGGAGCTACTTAGTGCATAGGGTACCTGAATAAGGGAATAAATAATGATTCCAACAGCCTCAATGCCCACCACTCCTTCACATTCGTCCTAAATTTCCAGACTGACCGCAGTGCCCAAACTCAAATAAAATATTGCTCTTCCACACCTCTGATTTCTTGCTCATGTTGTCCTTACTATGTGGTACATCTTACCCAAACTGGTAAACTCAACTTTTAATCCTTCCTTTGTGAAACTTTCCCTGACTCCTTTTAGACACAATGGCCTTCCCTCTTCTGTGTTTCCAGAGAACTTTGTACATACATTTATTACAGCACAAGCTATTTTCTAAATACTTGCATGGAATATTCACTCATTTATTGATCACTTGTAATGTACCAGAGATTGTGCTAGGAACTGAGTCTATAATGCACAGCCAAAGAGACACAGTTACAGACTTATGGGACATCAATTCTAATGATATGTTCCTAAAAGAACAGAGTGCATCTTTTTCAAATTTGCTTCCCCAGTACCTGCCAAAGCCTTTGCTACCTAGCAGATATTCAAATATGAATGAATCACAGTTCAGAGGCTGATCAAATAAAGGAAATGTGCTCAAGGCTTAAAGAGTCTAAGAACAGTCCCCAACCCCTCAATTTCCATTCAACTATGGTCATGGGATCAAGGGGGACTATTATCTCTCTACCTAGCTACCCAACAGACAATGGAAATAGAATGTCTTCAACCACAAAATCTTTGGTGAAAACATAAGCAAAGGGAGGAGGCTAGTGATAAAGTTAAGGTAGCAAGCAGGGTTTTTGGTATATGATTAAGACGGTAAGTGGCAGATTAACGAATGTCTTTAACAAATATTTTTGGGGGTACACATTATGAGCCAGGCATGGTCAAGGTACTAGGCAACCACTGATTTAGGGAGAATAAGATTACCTTGGTCTCTGTCCTATGGAACTTCATTCTAATGAGGAAGACAGATAAAATCAAACAGATTAATAAGAACATTGTTATTGCAATAATGGCAATAAAGGGAAAAACAGAGGAGAACAAATCCCTAGGGCAGGGGCTATATTTTGGACAGGCAGTTACAGAAAGTGTTCAAGTTAAGCAAGAATTAGAGAAAATTCATAAAGGAGGCAATTAAGTTCTAACAGAAAGACCACTTACATCACTGCTAATTTACATTACATTCAAAGCTTATATAAAATATAAAGAACTAGAAATGTGACTATGGTATTAATACAACCTCAATGTGTTAAGTGCCTGGCAAAGTTGATTTTTTCTTTCATTTATACTTTAAAATATTCACCTATGTTTTATGTATATTTATCAGGGGCTAAGTTTAAAAATCTTCCTGGGTTGATGTACATTTTGGCAGAAAATGTATTCTAGTATAGACTGGTGAAACTCAAAATAAAAGCATAATATTCCAAGTTTATGAATTGGAGTAATTTGCTGTCACCTATCCATACTACAGTTCTGAAGCAGGGACACCTGTTAGCAGTGAGCATGTAATCATTTTTATTATTAAATACAAAGGTACAATTAAATGCAGGCACAGGATGTGACCTGCATCATAATTCTACAGGCCTTTCTCTTCACAATATCCTTTTCATTATCCTGGGCCTTTTGTTCCTTCATGTTTCCTTTGTCTCACCCTAAGTTCTGAAATAAGCTATTTGCAATCTCAATAATTAGCAATCGGGGTGGATCTGTGGTCTTTGGCCCCATATAAACGAAACATTGTGAAGTTCCTTAACATGATATATTTAAGTACATAAAGTTTCTATACCCTCAGGACTTTCCTCTCTTGAAAAAGTTTTAAATGAATCTAATGAAAAGTAAGTTTTCTCCTTTTAAGACACTTAGAAGCTAGAGCTGAACAAAAATGAAACCACATTTAAACAGCAAGCAACAGCATGCTTTGGGTATTCATTAGCTATTTCTGTACAAAAATGTTCCACACATTAGTTTACAATAAAGATTCCTTGTGCCTTTCCCAGGACAATCCATTCTCTCTCGACCACAGCCAAAAAAAAAAAAAAAAAAAAAACAAACAGCATTTTATACGTTTAAGGAAGAAAAAGGAAAAGGGAGCAATGTGACAAAATTAATTGAAGTGAAGTTGGAAAGTCAGGAAGCAAGACATGCTATAGAGATCTTTCACAGGCTATGCAGTTATATGGCCTAAAAACCCCTGGTAAGCTTCCTTGTTTGTGAAATGCACTAAATTCATTGATAAACCTTCTTGAAATGCCTGGCTTTGAGGGTAAAGTTATTTCTTTACTGAGAGCAGCACTCTAAATTGCATGGCATCTTAAGCCCAGGAAACTGTCCTGAGGATGCCTGAGATTAATTATTTTTGTAAATATTTATTGAACACCCACTATGCACCAGGCACTAAGCTAAGTACTACTGTGGGGAACAGAAATTGAAAGAGATCAGAATGGCCTAGCTGTCCTGGAACAGAGATACAAGAGCAAATTTACCTAATGTGGAGGAGTCACATGCTCCCAAAAGTCTTTTGATTTTCTAGCACACTTCCTTTCTTCTTCCTCTGCAGTTTTCTTAAAATATTACCAAACAGCATTCTACACATACCTTATTTTCTCTCTTAAGTTAAAGAAAGATTTACAAAGCTTCTTTCACAGGTGTATATGCTTAAGTTCAAGTCCCACATCTATGAACTATGAAATCTCATGCTAGTTGCTTCATCTAAGGTTTGATCTCTCAGCTGTGGAAGGAGAATAGTAATGAGATTAACACAGAGTTATTGTGAGGAAGAAGTGAGATAGATAATGATGCTATGACAAAATAGTTCTCAATAAATATTAGCTTTTATTATTAAAAGGTAAAAAGGAATTGCTGGAAAGCAAAGACTATAACGACAAGATGTGGTTATTGCCTAAAATAACTTTTAAAAACAAAAGCCCTGAAGATTTTCCAGTTCTAAATGGTTTTATTGCTCATCAATCTGGCAAACTTACCCTGAAATGTGTAACAACTAACCTCTAATCTCTGCACTGCATGAATACTGTTTGTTCTTCTTTTACTCCTTTTCTCTCTCTCCACTTTTTACCACTGAAAAATAAGATTCTTTTTTCTGTATGTCATGAAGGATAGGAAGATGGGGAATGGTTTTTAATCCAGAGGAAAACAGTGTTGATAGGAAAATGGATTGTTTCAAAATATTAGAATTATTAAATCTTACTACAGAGGACTTCATTTTCTCTTACAAACCACAGAGCCTCTGTCACTTTTCATAAAGGAAATCTATATTAGCTATAAATTTGGCATCCTGAGAAAATTCAGAAAACTCAAGTTCTAACCTCTTAAATAGCCAGTAAATGGGTATGTTTCCATAGCAGATAACTGTCTCATGTTTTGGTATGGTTTGGTTTTGCTTACTAGCGTCTAAACCCCTCCTCCTATCTTGTAAGCTTTGCAGAAAGGCATTCTACCATCCCATAGGAGAGGAAGAACGGTCCCCTGGGATACAGAACTTTAACCTGGCTTTGCCAGTCCGACGCTCTCAACAGTCTTCGATCTAGAGGTAGTGACCCAAAGAACCTCTAATCCAGAGGTAGATGCAATGATAGCAGTACCATCCCATTTCTAGGGGCAGCAGCAATAGAGATGTCAGCAGTGGTGGCACAGCAAGACGTGACGTGATGAGCAATCAAGTCTTCGGTGCACTGGTTGTGGGTCAGGATTTTGCCTGTGGCTGTGGTTGCTACAAATCATATTTAGTCCCTTATTTTTCAAGCTAGGTCTCTGTCTTCCCAGTATTTCTGCCTGCTGCTCAATGTCCTATCAGAGAATTTCTTTTCTGTTTAAGTTAACCAGATTTTTTGTTTTTCCTGTCTGCAACAAAAACCTGAGCAAGCCCTAACCCCTAATCTCAGTATCCTCATTCCTCGAGCCACAAGTGGAACTTGATCTCTCAGGGCCCTCCAATTTTATAAATTGCAATTTACAAAATTTCAAATAAGCCAACTGAAAACTCAAGAATCGAATTATACAACAAGTCAAAAGAAGCCCTTTGATATAACTAAACCATCTTTCATAATAGGACTGGGAAAAGCAAGTGAATCCTTTCACTTTCACAGAACCATTTTTTTCAGTCCTCTTTTCCTCATTTGTGTGTGAGCACATGCACACAACTTTTTACAAAATGCTGGAATGGCTCAACCTGCCCCAGGGGTGATTTCGAGTGTGAGCTACATAATAAACACATGGAACCATGTGCCAAGGACCAGCTGGGGAATTCTAACTGGAGGCAGCCTTTTGAGAGAGCCTTTATCTGTTTCATGGTAAGTCTTGTACCTTATCAGATTTCTCTCTTTAATCACAGGAAGATTCCACACCTTATCAAATTGTTATCAAATCAGTCTGACCTGAACCCAATGTCCTGATTGTCTGAAAGGAATGTGTACTAGGGCATTTACATGAAAAGCAGGCTAACTCTTGGCCCCCATCAGAGAGCACTGATGCTGGAGACTCCGAATGTGTGAGTTCAGGACCCAACCAGCCACTAACTCAGGTTCTGGGGACGTCCCTTTCCTCATCAGAGTCTGTTTCATCTATTAAGTAGGTCTAACAACAGCCTCTCTACCAATCCCCTAGAACCGCTGAAATAATCAGATTCCAGCATATGTGAAAGCATTTGTAAACTGCAAAGCATTATAAGAATGAAGCTAATATTGTTAACAGATTGCCTTCTACTACATTTACCTTCCTTCTCCTTTTGTTAAGATAACCTTTTATTTAATACCTCAATCATAAACATTCCTCAGTTATCAGAATAACATCTCTCAGCAACCCAGAATTAATGTTTATTTGGAAACTTTATATGGGGCTTGAGACTCTAAAAGATGAAATGAAAAAGTCAGAATTTAATTATCTTTTTAACTATAAAAGCAAAATATTCAGACTTACTTGACAAAGATATCTTTAACAGATATTGTTTTTTAAGCTATAGTTTAGACCATTTCATTGCTTCTGCTTGAACTCTATAGTTACTAGGCAAAATCCTGATCTTTTTTTTTTTTTTTTTTGAGATGCAGTCTTGCTCTGTTGCACAGGCTGCAGTGCAGTGGCGTGATCTCGGCTCACTGCAAGCTCCCCCTCCTGGATTCACACCATTCTCCTGCCTCAGCCTCCCGAGTAGCTGGGACTACAGGAGCCCGCCACCATGCCCAGCTAATTTTTTTGTATTTTTAGTAGAGACGGGGTTTCACCGTGTTAGCCAGGATGGTCTCAATCTCCTGACCTCGTGATCCACCCACCTTGGCCTCCCAAAGTGCTGGGATTACAGGCGTGAACCACCACACCCAGCCAATCCTGATCTTAATTTGGTTATTCAAATAGGTTTGCCCTACTGGATTTTTTTTTTTTTTTAACAGCAATCTGAGTCATCTGTTTTACATGAATGTTTCACTTCTCATAGGAATGAATAAATTAAGGGCAGGAACTTGGTTCTATCCCCCACCATCTTCTCCAAGAGTTTACCTCCTGCAAGGACAACAATGTATGGCATGTAGGAAGGTGTTAAACTATTTGTTGCCTAAAGTAATAAATTCATGATTCAATAGGCTGTGAGTTGGGCTAGTGCCAATCAATTTACCAGAGCCCGATCACCCTAAGCGAAATAATAAAACAGCTATTCTGAACCTTCACAGGCAAGGTCACATGCTGAGGCAGAAGACTGAGATGCAAATACTGTGAGAATCAACTTAATTTCACTACCTCCTAACAGCTAGTAGAATATCTGATGTCTCTCACATAAAAAGACATGAAAAGAAAGTTTATACACAATATAGTTATCAATAAAATAATGTCAAATTGCAACCACATACATCTAGCACTATGCTAGATGCTATTGCCATATTTTTTAAGCCAACAAATGTGTCAATATAAAACATGTAAACATTTAAAACAAAACTTCCCCTCGGGGGTTTGGGGGAACTACCTACAGATATAATCTCTGCCCTTTGTACTTGAAAAAGACTTTTCTAATATTCTAAACAGTTTGATTCTAATCTGTACTCAATAAATATGTGAGAGTTTCAAAATAAGATAATTCAATAAATAGGCTCTAATCTCATTTCTGATAAACTATTATAAAAATTAAATAGTACCGTAATACAGCTCTTTCACCAAAACAGTTTTAATGAATGTCAAAAATACTCCCTTTGTCTCTGAAATGCTGGACAATGGTGACATGTAGTAAGACTCAAATGTGAAAAATAAACAACAGAAGAAGCACACCCTCATACTTCTAATCATTTCCTATAATTTCAAAATAATAATAAATTTAGAAATTAGACAATGTCACACCAAATTGAAAACGTATGACTTAGTTTTACTTTCAACTATACAAGGCTGGGACATACCACGTCTATTACTAATGTTTTTCCTTCTGTTTTATAATGAATCAAATACCATGCTTTCAGTGAGTGGAGTTTCTTGCCCAGACTCCCAGCAATTTTCAAAGACTTCCTGGAAATGCTCGCCAGTGGTTATTGTCAAAGAAAGATTCTATTAGTTTCTGAGACAGTCAAGGTGCCCTTGCCCTGTTGTAATCACTGACAGCATTCAACCTGCAGGGTCAGCCCCACGCAGTCCCTGAGTCAATCCTAAGTCAATCCTGGCAGCCCCTGGCATTATACAGGGAGCCCCATCCCTCTGGAAACTGTTATCTGCCCATAAACTGTTATCTGTCTTTAAGGAACCCCTACACAAAGGAATCCCTGTGCTCACAGGTGTGCAGTCTCTCCCACTGTAGACGTCAAACAGAAGAGTTCCTGCCCCAATATCTGGTTCTCACTCTGTGCTCCTAGTTGAACTAGAACTCTGCTCATATCTGTTTGCTTAGCCAAAGCTCTGACATTCTGCTTAGCTCTTCCCTCAAGTAATGGTCTCTATCTCTCTTTTCAAGGGGATGACCTAGTGTCCTCCATAGACCCCCTCCTCTTCCCACAGAATCCTGAAGATACTGTCATGCATTTGACTCCATGGATCACTTCACTAAGAAAACTATTAATCTGCTTAGACCTGTGCTCAGATCCCACGTACTGATGAGGAGTGGGATGGCTATTAAGATTGCCTAGTCAGCAGAGACAGGTGGTTTGGACTGCTGCCACTCCTTGGTCTGGAAGCCTGATCAGACAGGCTAGATCTTGAGCCCTACTTGTTGCTGGTTTACTTCTCTGCCTCTACCTTAGGAGAAGCCCTGCCCTCAAATCTTGAAGAGTATCCACATTTTAAAGTCAAGAAACCTTTTAGCAGGCATAGTCAAGGTTAAGTGCTGTCACGTATAGCTGTAAATAGATTCTGTGAATTTCTTACTGCCTATAGAAAACAAGAATAAGAGTTACTCATCGATTTTCAATCAATATCGTAGCTGAGGATACAAATTCAAAGGCAATTTTACTTTTTGAGTTTTGAATTCATCTGGTCACAATTTACATGTCAACAATGTTGAATTCTAATTAAGAACCAAAGCCTAAGAATCAAAGACTCAGACTATAATAGTCTACTCACCTTAAGGAGAGGGCAAAATTATAATACATTACTCCACTAAAATACAACTTAAAATACAGCATATTAATCTTCAACTTAATACTCATCTCAAAACTTCTGAGGAGCACTACACAAAGATGCTTTTGTAAAACAACCTCGCAGCACTTTGACGTGACCGTATGTTCATTAAAAGGAAGTATTACTACTTACATACATAAGGTACATAATGAATTCAGTATGTGTCTAGAGTTGGCTAATGCCATTAAAGCACATGCCAGAAGCACAGACTATAAATCAAAATGCGATTTGTCAAAGAGCTTAATATGATACAGGTTAAAAATAAATAAATAAGCCACTAATATCCTGATAGGGGATTGGTGAGGAGAGCTAAGCCTAAACTGAGACCAGGTTGCAATTGACATGCCTTTGTTCTATCTATAGCTTTGGCTATTCCTCTCTCTCTTCCACCTGGATAAGTACAAAATTAGCATGCACCAGGCATTCTTCACTCCCCAGAGGGTTTATATCTCTAACACCGCTTTAAAGACTGATATTCTTTCCAAAATGCTGACATAAACCAGTTGGGCAATCACAGATTTTTTAAAGCCCACATTACCGAAGCTTTAAAAGATCTAGATTATTCTTAAAACAGAATTTGGGAACACTTGACATTCATTTATTAATTCACTTCCAAATCAAAGATGTAACAAAAGACAAGAAAGGGCGGCTACACAAATAAAGAGGTAAGCCACAAAGACAACTAACAAAACAAAACAAAAAAAAACAACAACAAGAAAATCTGGGTAGTAGATGCTGGAGTTGTCCAAGAAATTAAAGCAAGCAGATGGATAATGGCCCATGTAATATGCCTTCTCTTTCCCAGGTCTTTCTTTCTCTCTCTCTCTCTCTCTCTCTCCCCACCCCCCTCTCTTTCCTAGGTCTCTCTCTCTCCCCGCCCCCCCCCAGGTCTTTTTCTCTTTCTCGCTCTCTCTCTCTTTCTTTCTTTCTCTCTCTTCTCTCTCTCTCTCTTTCCCAGGTCTTTTTCTCTTTCTTTCTCTCTCTTTCTCTCTCTCTCTCTCACCTGGGATTCCTTCCCATCAGCATAAAATCTCATCTAATGCCCTCCTATTAATCATTCAGTTTTCTGCACCCTGAGTACCTGTATCAAATGCTGTTTGCATTCACTGGATGCCCATTGCCTAGAGAATTCAAACTAAACTCCTCATCCTGGCATACCTTGTCCTCCATGATTCAGGCCCTACACCACCCTACACTCAAGCTCTACACAACTGCTTCCTGTAATTCCATGGGTCTGCATGCTTTGGCCACAGTGTTCCCTGTCATCTTCCTCCCCCACTGACTTTACCTGGCCATACTACCCTTTCTTAAAATTTAGCAAAGCATTACTTACTTAAGGAAGCTTTCCTAGATTCTCTCACACACATACCCATATTAGGTATATGCTTGTCACAGAACTTCTCACAGGCAACCATAAATCAATGGTTTCCTTGTCTGTATCCTCTGTTAGAGTTTTTTTTTTTTTAAGAAAAAGCAATTCATGTTATTCTGTTCATCTCCATTACCTATCACATTAGCTGACTTATAGATGGTATTCATATAATTACTGGATACATAAATAAATGTAAATGCTAGTCATGTGAAAAAACAACTGAGAATACTATCTTACTTAGAAAGCTATAAACCTACAGATTCTTTCAACTTACTATACAAAATGCTGCTTCCTTTATAGTCATTCCAATCCCAAGACTAATACATTAAATCTAATATTGAAGAATAGAGTACAGAAGTAAACAAAAGAAAATCTTACAGAGTATTGATACTCATTTTGATATGGACAGGAGGCAAGGAAATACTGGGTAGAAGAAGGCAGTTCCCTGGCAAAGGCCCCACCCTCAAGCCTGGAAACCCATGGCCCTAAATGGGAACAGGCATTCCTGTTTTTGCACCCAAACATTTCCTTTTGGCCTGCTGCATCCCTGCATCGTGTACCATTATAAACCCCAAACCCCAGGCTCCTCGAGCAGATGAGCAGATAACAGATAAGCAGAAGAGCAAAGAAGCAGAAGAGTGGCACAGCAGAGGAGAGAAGAGAAAGGGCATTTAAACATCAAGAAGAGTTTGGCTGTGGATGGTCAGAGAGGAGATCGGCCACAGGACGGCCAAACTCCAGGCGAAGTTCATATTCCCACTCCATCCCCTTTCTAGCTCCCCATCCATCTGCTGAGAGCCACCTCCACCTGGAAATAAGACACCCCGCATTTACCATCCTTCAATTTGTCTGTGTGACCTGATACTTCCTGGATACCAGACAAGAACCTGGGTACCAAGAGGGCACTGAGCTGGTTAACGCTTTAGCTTTCTGCAGATGGCAGAGCTAAAGGAGCATTGTGACATGCCCACTGGGGCTTCAGGAGTCACAGACACCCACCCCTAGACGCTACCGTGGGCTGGAGCCCAAAAGCGCTCACCCTGGCTCCTGCAGCTGCCCTTCTGTGTGCTCCCCCTCCCATAAGGGGTTTGAGCATGGTGGCCGAACAGATGAGCCACACCCATTGCACATCCTGCGAGGGGGGTCAGAGAACTCTCCCATTCCAATTTTAAAATTTTACATACATGCAGCAACAGTATAATGTATGCCTAGACCTACATTGGGCACACCTCAATTCAGAAGTATCACATATCAACATTCAGTCAACTTCTTCCCAATAATCACACACCATGAAATTCAGCACTGTTGACAGGAAGTTTTCTCTTATCTTGGGACTTCCTGCAAATTTCTGGAGAGCAGATTTTTAAAAAACTATCTAGAGCTAATAAGATCTAAACCTGAGGCCTTGCTGACAGAATCAGATTATTCAATGGACTAAAAGGCTGAATGGTGAGACGCAGGCTGGTCAAGAAGCCCTGCAATTTTGGAAGCTGCAGCTTCAGCAACAGAAACACAAGGGAGAATTCAAATACTGCTGTCAAATGCTCCAACATTTCTCGAGAACTCATAGCTCATAGCTCATGAGTTGATGGAGGAGAAAAAGACTGCTCAGCTTTTCATTATTTCTCTTCAACAGATTAACCAATTACACATATAGAAACCACCACAATCTAGCTAAGTGCTCTTCAGGGCTACATGCTATGAAATTTCTGAAGGATACCTGTTTCACTCTGGACAGGAAGAAAACAACAATGAGAGTGGTCACAACCCACTGCACCAAGAGAAACATTCTGCACTCAGTGACTGCTGCTTCCTTCAGCCTTAGGAAACTTCCCGTCTTGTGAAGGGTGAGGAACAATTTGAAAGTCTGGAGTAACTTCATTCTCTCCCATCCCTGACCACCCCTCAGGCCTTTAGGCTTTAGGCCTCACCTGCTGACATAGCTCTTCTAGCAAACAGAGACTCCTTTCTGATGCAGCACTACAGCTCTTTCACAATATAAATTAGAAAAACTTTTATGGCAACTAATCCTTATTTGTGATTCTGTCCAATACTAGACAAATCATGATTTCTATATCAAATGTGGGTCACAGAGGAGGAAATTAGGGAATTTACTTTTTCCCAAGCCCTCTACTACCCAATGTCCTTCTAAATTCCTATAAAGCATTTGTCAGTTATACTCAGAATTTCTGACTTGGTTTCATCCAGTTTCTGGGTGGCAGTGCCCTCCAGTAACTCCTATTGCCACCAATAGAATAATTTCAATAAAAGAGCTGCTAGGATCAGCCCCTCCTGATGGCTCTAAAATTTCAAGTTCAATATTTGTGAAAAATGGTTAAAATGCCATAATTCAAAGGGAATTTACAAGGGTAAGTTGTCTGAAACCTATTGTTCAAAAAGTGCAGGTAACAAGGAAAAAGTACCTCCTTAAAATTTAATGGTGGGGGAGCACATGGGGAGAAGAGAAAAAGTCCAATCATAGATAACCACTGGGCACACAGAAGGCCCTTGATTATACCTAGATGTAACTAAAGGCTTGTTAAACTGAGACACATAATCACAAAAAGGTAGAAAATAAAACTAAATTAAAATCTGGGGGCTGGATGCAGTGGCTCACATCTGTAATCCCAGCACTTTGGGAGGCCAAGGTGAGAGGACAACTTGAAGCCAGGTGTTCATCACCAGCCTGGGCAACAAAGCAAGGCCTTGTCTCTGCAAAGAGTTTTTTAAAAATAAAAACTAGCCAGATGTGTTGGTGCACAACGATAGTCTTAGCTAGTCGGAGGCTGAGGAGATTTGCTTAAACTCCAGAGGTCAAGACTGCAGTGAGTTGTGATCACTCCACTGTACTCCAGCCTAACAACTGAACGAGACTTTGTCACTTAAAAAAGTAAAAATAAAAATAAAATTACATATTAATATATATTATATATTTATTAACATAAATCTATAACCCCTATCTTTGGACTGCCTCCCCAGCCCTTTTGGTGGAGTAGGCAGGGGCCTGAGAAGTGACAAGATGGGATATTAAAGGACCAAGTGGGCTCCAGGCATTGCTGGAACCTGTGGCCCTCCATTTGTCCTATGGAGAGAGGGAAAGCACCACAGTGGTCCATGCCTAGGCTGAAGGCCCCATTGTGTTGTGGAGGGCCCTCAGATTACCATTCTGGGACTGAGAAGGGCAGTGTCCTTCCTGGCCAGGTGGGAATATTGCAGCTGGCCTCCAGGAGTGAGCTCCATGGTGCAGACTCAGTGGCCTCAGCCCAGATCTGGTTAATGGGCCACTCGTGGCCTCCACATGCAGGTGCCACACGACATCTGTGGCCTCAGCCTGGCTCTTAAGATAAGGTCCGGCTTTGCTACAGACAGCTGGTTTTGCAAATGAGAGACCCCGGTTTTTGTCAGAACCATTTTAAAGTAAATGAAAAGAAACTCTCTACTGTCAGGGCCAGTGCTGATGTGCAGAAAATACCCTTGCATCTTCTGGAGAGAAGTGTCACAAAGCCTGGGGTTGCTACAGTTGCCACTTACTCTCCTGTCTGTGTTCTCCTGACCTCAGGGGATGAGAACATCAAAAGCATCAACCAGCAGTAAGGAGCACATGTGGAGTTTCAGCAGAAATCCCCCTTCCCAACACTAACACCAATCTGTGGATTTTAAATACATATATATTTAAAGGGGGCAGGGGTGAATTAAAACTATGCATATTTGGGATGGGATGGGGAGAAGAGAAGACCAAAGTAACATTAAACAGCAAATGTAGCAAATTAAAATAATTAAACTTCAGTGAGTGAAGTGTTTAATCGCATCTAGATATTTACATCACTTTAAATATTACTCTAAATTGTATATGTATTTCATTATGTTTGTGTTAATAATGTTTATGCTTGGTTTTTTGAAAATAGAGTCTTAAACAAAGCACCGTGGTGCATGCCCACACTCCCAGCTACTTGGGAGACTGAGGTGGGAGAATCACTTGAGCCCAGGAGTTCAAGTCCAGCCCAGGAAACAAAGTGAGGCACTGTCTCTAAAAACATAAAAAATAAACAAACAGCATTGTTTGCTACTTTAAAAAACCGAATCCAGCAGCACATCGAAAAGCTTATCCACCATGATCAAGTGGGCTTCATCCCTGGGATGCAAGGCTGGTTCAATATACACAAATCAATAAATGTAATCCAGCATATAAACAGAACTAAAGACAAAAACCACATGATTATCTCAATAGATGCAGAAAAGGCCTTTGACAAAATTCAACAACGCTTCATGCTAAAAACTCTCAATAAATTAGGTATTGATGGAACGTATTTCAAAATAATAAGAGCTATCCATGACAAACCCACAGCCAATATCATACTGAATGGGCAAAAACTGGAAGCATTCCCTTTGAAAACTGGCACAAGACAGGGATGCCCTCTCTCACCACTCCTATTCAACATAGTGTTGGAAGTTCTGGCCAGGGCAATTAGACAGGAGAAAGAAATAAAGGGTATTCAGTTAGGAAAAGAGGAAGTCAAATTGTCCCTGTTTGCAGATGACATGATCGTATATCCAGAAAACCCCATTGTCTCAGCCCAAAATCTCCTTAAGCTGATAAGCAAAGTCTCAGGATACAAAATCAATGTACAAAAATCACAAGCATTCTTATACACCAACAACAGACAAACAGAGAGCCAAATCATGAGTGAACTCCCATTCACAATTGCTTCAAAGAGAATAAAATACCTAGGAATCCAACTTACAAGGGATGTGAAGGACCTCTTCAAGGAGAACTACAAACCACTGCTCAAGGAAATAAAAGAGGATACAAACAAATGGAAGAACATTCCATGCTCATGGGTAGGAAGAATCAATATAGTGAAAATGGCCATACTGCCCAAGGTAATTTACAGATTCAATGCCATCCCCATCAAGCTACCAATCACTTTCTTCACAGAATTGGAAAATAGTACTTTAAAGTTCATATGGAACCAAAAAAGAGCCCACATCGCCAAGGCAATCCTAAGCCAAAAGAACAAAGCTGGAGGCATCACGCTACCTGACTTCAAACTATACTACAAGGCTACAGTAACCAAAACAGCATGGTACTGGTACGAAAACAGAGATATAGATCAATGGAACAGAACAGAGCCCTCAGAAATAACGCCACATATCTACAACTATCTGATCTTTGACAAACCTGAGAAAAACAAGCAATGGGGAAAGGATTCCCTATTTAATAAATGGTGCTGGGAAAACTGGCTAGCCATATGTAGAAAGCTGAAACTGGATCCCTTCCTTACAGCTTATACAAAAATCAATTCAAGATGGATTAAAGACTTAAACGTTAGAATTAAAACCATAAAAACCCTAGAAGAAAACCTAGGCATTACCATTCAGGACATAGGCATGGGCAAGGACTTCATGTCTAAAACACCAAAAGCAATGGCAACAAAAGACAAAATTGACAAATGGGATCTAATTAAACTAAAGAGCTTCTGCACAGCAAAAGAAACTACCATCAGAGTGAACAGGCAACCTACAAAATGGGAGAAAATTTTCGCAACCTACTCATCTGACAAAGGGCTAATATCCAGAATCTACAATGAACTCAAACAAATTTACAAGAAAAAAACAAACAACCCCATCAAAAAGTGGGCGAAGGAAATGAACAGACACTTCTCAAAAGAAGACATTTATGCAGCCAAAAAACATATGAAAAAATGCTCACCATCACTGGCCATCAGAGAAATGCAAATCAAAACCACAATGAGATACCATCTCACACCAGTTAGAATGGCAATCATTAAAAAGTCAGGAAACAACAGGTGCTGGAGAGCATGTGGAGAAATAGGAACACTTTTACACTGTTGGTGGGACTGTAAACTAGTTCAACCATTGTGGAAGTCAGTGTGGCGATTCCTCAGGGATCTAGAACTAGAAATACCATTTGTCCCAGCCATCCCATTACTGGGTATATACCCAAAGGACTATAAATCATGCTGCTATAAAGACACATGCACACTATGTTTACTGCGGCATTATTCACGATAGCAAAGACTTGGAACCAACCCAAATGTCCAACAATGATAGACTGGATTAAGAAAATGTGGCACATATACACCATGGAGTACTATGCAGCCATAAAAAATGATGAGATCACGTCCTTTGTAGGGACATGGATGAAATTGGAAATCATCATTCTCAGTAAACTATCGCAAGAACAAAAAACCGAACACCACATATTCTCACTCATAGGTGGGAATTGAACAATGAGAACACATGGACACAGGAAGGGGAACATCACACTCTGGGGCCTGTTGTGGGGTGGGGGGAGGGGGGAGGGATAGCATTGGGAGATATACCTAATGCTAGATGACAAGTTAGTGGGTGCAGCGCACTAGCATGGCACATGTATACATATGTAACTAACCTGCACATTGTGCACATGTACCCTAAAACTTAAAGTATAATAATAATAAAAATAAATAAATAAATAAATAAAAGAAAAAAAGAAAAAAATTGACATAATTGAGTGGAGAAATATGTTTATCTCTCTTTGCTCATACTTAAGGATAATGAAAATACCAATTTTACCAAAATCTGTGATGAGAAAAAGAAATATACAAGTAGAAGACAGAGGAAAAAGGCAAAAATACACATATCAATCTGGCTTTATATAATAGACATGTTTCAATCCGGTTTTATACAATAGACATGTTTCTTACAATTAGCGTGGACTATTATCTATTAATTTAAATGCTGTTGGAAGAGGCAACTATTGAAAATAATAAATTGGGTTTATTTTATTCTTTTATTAGAATGAGAGTAGTCAGTTTATCCAATTTGTAAATCCTGACTATATTCAGATTAGTTTTTTAATGATAATGTATTTTTACCTTCTTTTTCACTAAAATGGTTCTGAGGTAACTATTGAAGTACAATGCTTTGCACACGGGGAATTATTAAAAGAGAGAACTGCCTGTGAGCTGCTTCTCAGTTACCTTTTTCAGACTTCAACCTTCTTAAGGAAAATAAAACACAAATCACCAAATCCATTCTTTGTAGGATTTCTCGGGTTAAAAACTAAGAAAATTTAAAATTCCTGGGAAATATGAAGTTTCTGGTGTACTGATTTACCTGGTCTATCCCAGGTAAATCAGTTACATGTTAATCATCTTTGACATAAAAATATCAAGTACAAATTATTTGATATTGCTTTTAATTTGGTAGTTGCTTTCATTATTATATACTTTTTTATTTTATTCTCAAATATCTATTCTTCTGAATAGATAGCAAATCATATACTAGTAACACTTTCCAGTGAATGCAAGAGTATATATTTGGTTTTGAACAGAAAAGGAGCAATAGTTATTTAACTTGTGTGGGAGGTTAGTTGCGTGTGCCTGTATGTTTTTTAATGTGCAAAGATGAGTTAAAAAAAATAGGTGTTGTGTGGTTCATGCTTGAGTGGATATAATGATCTACAGAGGGTTTTACTAATGTAAGTGTGATATGAGTAAGTATTAATAGTAATAATGAAACTAGTTTGAAACTTCACATTCTAAAATAGTAATCTATTTGGCTCCAGAGAATATAATCTACACCAAGGTGTTAGTTATATTTATAAAAACTATGTACCGAAGACTTTTTTTCACAGTTTTTTTTTTATTACATTTCCAAGGCTTGGTAGTTGAAACTAAAGTGTGGGGCTTTTTAATTGAAGAGATATTTTTATTACTGCCATTCTTTGTGAGGTTAGATGCTTAATACCAGGCTGGCTTTCCATTACACTAAGAAAGCTGCTGTGTGTCATCTGCAGAATAACTCCAAAATTGATTTAATTATTAATTTTTTACTCTCTTTCTTCCTTTTCCCAAACAGGTATCTGGGCAAAGACTCCTGATCCTCTTGAAAGAATGCTAGAAAATATGTGAAGAATGGGTACAGCAGAGAGAAACTAGGGACTATGCCAACAGATACGTGAGGCATTATATTGTCCACACAATAAAGTAGCAAGAAAAATTAGTTCCTGAAGAACAATCCTTACAGCTTCCTGAAGACCAATCATTATGGCCTTTTATTTCCCATTTATTTCCCCATATTGCAATGTCAGTTATTTCCTCCTCTCCTTGTTTCCAAATGTGACCTATAAAATTTTGTTTTTCTGAAGGAGAATCACTCTGAGACGAATTCATTAGATAGTTACTGCAAGCTTCAAAATGCAGTATTTTTAAGCATGGCTTACATTTCTTGGGCATGTGTTCTCCGAATGTCTTTGAAACAAAAGCAGAAAGTCCCTCAAATTTTTATATCTTAAACTACAATTAATTAGCTTTATCTCTAAATTTTAAAAAATGCACCATTAATATAAAGCATATCAACACAAATTTTACCAAGAAGTATAATTTCACATATTAGTATAAGACAGACTCATCTATTTAAAAGACTATAATTGACAGAAGCACTTAGTCTGACTAAGCATATTAGCATTCAATGCAAGCAAATGTTATGAACCAGATTTTAGCAAATTTGAACAAATCACAGCATATTTTACATAATGATAATAACAGCATTTGAGACTCTCTGATTAATTTTAAGCTCTCTACACAGATCAGACTAGTGGATGTGTCATTGTTTTGTGGTATCCAAAGAAAGGAAATAAGATTTTATTTTCACTTATAAAAAGAAAAATAATTTGAAAGTGTGGTTTATTGATGGCTAAGGCTGTATGAGCAGGTATATTTTGATCTAAGCAGTTAACATGGCTATGAAATGTAATTCCATAAAAGTTGGTCCCTGCTTTTAAATTCACCTTTTAAAATTTTGTGGCCTCTTATACTTATGGAAAGCAGTATCTACTCTATTAGGTGAAAAAAGCATGGCACTACTACCACCTACAAAATGGTAGGCAGAGCAAAAACAAGTGTACATATAATAAACACATATGCATACATACGTTAAAAGAACATACCAAAATCCTAAAAAAATTTTTTAAGTTAATTTTAAAGAAGGAGGGAATAGGGCAGAACAAGGAAAGAAGCTAGCCTTGTTTGAATTGTCTTTGTTTACATTTTTTACTTTAAAACACTTTATTTACATAATTTATAAAACAGAAGCACAGTTTAAAAAAATAAATTCCTAATCATCTAAAGCAAAATGAAATTATCTGTTGTATTAAGTGGTGACATAACCACACTTATAGGAAATAAATATGTTAAGTCACTTTAAAAGACAGTAATTTGTCCGTATGTCCCCATTCAACAACGAAACTGAAAAATAAAATTAAACTGTTTTGGAAGTCTGATTGATAACGTTAAATAAAAACCATGTAATACTAAATTTGAAGTGGAACTGTATCTAAAAACTCAACATGTTTTTCTTCTTCACATAATTTTTTTCCTAATTTTTTCTATTGAAAGGCCTAGAAATAATGACCAACCAGTAGCAATGAACCTTCATAGCAAATAGATTATGGTCCCTAGTTACCATTTTCCACATGAGGGAGTCAAGTGTTACTGAAGAAATGGCTGCTTCCAAAACTAGGGAAGGAAAGTTTCAAGATGAAACCGGAGTATCTTGTCATAGCAAACAGCACAGAAATCATCATAGACCACTGACAGGGTATCAAAAGGGCTCAGGGGCCAACTGCAGGAAGTGCCCCAGGGCCAGAGATGGGCAATATGAACATCAATAATTCTGATGGATTGACATGTATCTATCAAATACTTCAAATTCATGAGTTTATGTTGACAAGCTTCCCCTCAGAAAAAGATCTCATTACATTTGGAGGATACTAAAAAAGCTAACTCATTATTTTTGAGTACAAATAAATGAAAAGAATCAAGCATTTATCCAGACTTTCCTATATACAATATACCTTAAGGTAGGCAGATAGTTGATACAGGGAAATTATAAGTAATCCAACTAACCCATAAAGAAGGAAAAATAGAATTATAAAAGTAACATTTTATAACCCCTTAACCTCTAATGAAATGCTGTAATTATCTAGGCAATAATTATAATTACTAATTTAAAAAAATTAAAAAGAGGTAAACAGACTTGTGATGGAAATTTACATCACCCATAAAGTATTTTTGACAAAACAATTTGATCTAGCCTTTTTGTTGCTAGTCACCAAATATGTCCCACCTCTCCTCAGTAAACTACGCCTTCTGCTTTTCTTACTTTTGTAATCCCCTCTCTTTTAAGTTTGGCTGCTTTTGTGATTTACTTTAATTAACAGAATGTGGTGAAAGTGACACTGTGTGACTTCTAAGACTAGGTCAAAAGAAGCCCTCTGTTTCTGCTTTGGTCTCCTGGTGGGCTCATGGGGTAAGCCAGCCACCACATAAGAAGTCTGTACCCTGTGAAAAAGTCCAAGCTAGCCATACAGAGAAGCCATGGTGAAAGAGGTGCCAGACCAAGTTGTGGCCACCCCAGCCTTCCAAGTCCAGGCACCAAACAGGAAAGTAAAGAAGCCTTTAGAAGACTTCAGCCCCAGCTGCCATCTCACTATAACTATATAGAAGGACCCCAAGTGACAACCACCCAGCTGAGCCCATCCATCCTCAGAACTATGAGAAATAACCAATCATTGTTTTAAGCCACTGAGCTTAGGTGTTGCTTCTTATGCAGCAACAGATTAATGAGACAAGTCTACCAATTTACATCAAAGGGAAACTGTTACATAAAACCATCAGGAAACAAAAAAAGGGACTGGAAACCTATCAGTTAAAAAAGAATGAATCCACACTGGGGGCTCCAAAAGGTGGGGGTGGGTGGGAAGAGGGTGAGAGTTAAAAAGCTACCTATTGAGTATAATGTTCACTATTTGGGTGATGGGTTCACTAGAAGCCCCAACGTCACCATTAAGCAATAATATATCCATGTAACAAACCTGTACATGTGCCCCTGAATCTAAAATATAATAACAACAATAAAAAGAATGAATCAACTTATATGTAAGATTTTGTCTATTTTTTATGAGTTGGTTTTTAAAATCAGGAGCCTAATAAAGTTATGAGATTATAAGGGACATGTGAACATAACCAGATATTTGATATTAAGAAATTATTGTTGGCTGGGTATAGTGGCTTATGCCTGGAATCCCAGCACTTCGGGAGGCCAAGGTGGGAGGATCACTTGAGCCCAGGAGTTCAAGACCAGCCTGGGCAACAGAGCAAGACCCCATCTCCATAAAATATCTATCTATCTATCTATCTATCTATCTATCTATCTATCTATCTATCTAGAAAAGAAATTATTGTTGAACAATTTAGGTGTGGCTGTGTTTGAAAGAGAGTTCTTAACTTTAAAGATACAGACTAAATATCCATGGATAAAACATTTGTTATAGTGGGGAGTGGGGGAAAGGGGAAATGAGAGTATAGACTGGCCATGAGTTTATAAGTGTTTGGTCATGAGTTTATAAGTGCTAAAATTGAAAGTTAATTTTATTATTCTCATTAATTTTGCATATATTTGAGTTTTCCATAATAAAATTGGATAGCCTTTGTTGAACTATTTGGCTACTTTTTAAAAGTGTATAACGAACTTAAAAATCAATGGTAGCTGACATACTGTAGGATTCCAACTACATGTCATTCTGGGAAAGGCACAACTCTGGAGACAGTGAAAAGATCATTGGTTGCCAGGGGTTAGGGGAGGGGGAAGGATGACTAGGCAGAGCACAGAGGATTTTTAGGCCAGCGAAACTATTCAGTATGATATGGCAGTGGTGGATACATATCATTATATATTTATCAGAGCCGACAGAATGTACACCAAGAGTGAAACTTCATGTAGACTATGGACTCTGGGTGATAATGATGTGTCCATGTAGGTTCATTGACTGAAACGAATGCTTCACTGCAGTGAGGGATGTTGATAGTGGGAGAGTCTAAACATGTATGGGAGCAGGGGGGAAAGAGGAAGTCTCTGTACCTTTCTCTCAATTTTGTTGTGAACCTAAAATTTCTCTAAAAAAGTAAAGTCTTTAAAAAGAAAAAAAAAAATCAATCATAGCTGAAAGAAGCCATGATGCTATAATCTTCATTTTGTAAAGTCCTCTTTTTAGCTAAAAAATAAAATTATCTTCACATCCCCATGTATCTAAACTATCAATGTAGATTTTTAGCTATGATTCCTCTTCCTTCCTGTAAAATAGAGATCATAATATCCTATCCCAGCATACATACAAAGTTAGTTCAAAGATAATTTCTGCAAAAAAAAAAAAAAAGCTTAAAAAACCACACTCTGCTACACAAATGTAAAACATTGGTGGTGGTAGGGACCATGTATTTGGCAAAATATATGGCATATATGTACAATGCCTGGCAAATAGTAGAGGTTCCATAAATATTTTTTGGATGAATGAGTAAATCAAGAGAAGAGTGGACAAAGATTTTTGATACAATAGCTTCTGCCTTTGATCCTGAATCTTTTTTAAATGGGTCAACTGAACCACAGAATGGGAGAGGTAAATAGCTTACTATGAACCCACTAGAACTATCTGTTCAAACAACTTACATACATCCTACTACTGGAGAATTTTTAGCACTGTCTTTAAGCTTTTATATACAGAGTACAAATATGGATGACTACTATCTCGGCTTGCTATACCTGATCAAATCTACTTTGGTGGATTTTAATTTTAAAAAAAGCAAATTATAAGAGAATGAAAGCCTGGTATTTAATACATGCTGGGCAAGTGAGCAATAAACAATTGCAAAGTTTCCTGGGGGCTATTTTGCTCTATCTCATCATCAGGAAGCTAAAACATATGCTGGATGTTAGCCTGGGTGGACACAGTGTGTCCTATTTATTCAAGGTTTCCTTTGAAGCCACAATTTATAAGTTTTGTTTCTTAGGGGTACATGTCAAACTTCATTTAGCATTAGCTGGTATCCAGATACACTGAATAGCAAAAAGGCAGCATTTGGGGGCAAAAAAAAATATGCCTGCTGTATGAGCAATGATGTCAGTTTCATTTATGTAACTCATAGAAAACAAGAGGAGAAATACAACAGGAAAGCTGACAGTAGGAAATCAAGATTAAAACTATTCATTTAGTTTAGAAGTGTAAAATTGCATATGAACAAGGAGAAATATTAAAAGCAAATATGTTTTAAATCAATGTCTAAGAGGAAGGAATGTTTAGAGGAAGTTCTATTAAAATGTTATGGTTTTTAATTCTTAAACTTCAAAGATTATACTTACCTGAGGCATGTTCATATGTGCAATATTTTTTCCTTTTATCCTAAGAATGTTTGGCAAGTTTTTCTAGAAGAATCTTCAAATTTTAAACATACAAGGGGATGCTTGTGGAACTGATGCTTCACTTTGGAATATTTTCACAAAAAGTAGAAATTTGGTGGACTATAGAGTATCCATGAAATTGACCCCCCAAAAATAATACGGGAGTAATGTTTTGTACTTATAAATTATTTTGCATTTATTATAGTAGTTCATTTAAATATCAAAACAGCCTGTGAATTAGGTGTCATAAGCCTAAATTTATAGATGTGTAATGCAGAGCTCAAAGTGCAGTTAAGTTTGTAAACCTAAGTCATCTCCTTCCATATTGCTGATTGATTTAAAGACCCTACAATACTTTGGAAAGTAGCTTTCTAGTATGATTGCAATGCTTACAATTCCAAAACAATTTATCATGCCATTTTCAACATTATTTTTCTAAGATTCATCTGTGTTGTTCAGTTTACAGTTCATGCACTTTCAATGCTGTGTTTTACTCCATTATGTGAACAGACCATATATTAAATATTCATTTTCCTCTTGATGGATATTTGCATTACTTCCCTTTTTGAAATTATACCCAGTGCTTCTATGAACTTTTTGTACATATACCCTGGTAGACACATGCAACAGTTCCCCTAAGGCATATACCTACTAATAAAATTACTAGATCACAATGTACCCCCAACTTTTCTAGGCATGTCCAACTGCTCTACAAAATTTATATCACCTTATGTAACCATCACATAATACTTTTACAAAGTTTAAAAATAAAACTGAACAGCCGGGCATGGTGGCTCACGCCTGCAATCCCAGCACTTTGAGAGGCTGAGGCAGGCGGACTGCCAGAGCTCAGGTGTTCGAAACCACCCTGGGCAACATGGTGAAACCCCATCTCTACTGAAATACAAAAAAATTAGCTGGGCATGGTGGCACGTGCCTGTAATCCCAGCTGCTCAGGAGACCGAGGTGGGATAATGGCTTGAGCCCGGGAGGTGGAGGTTGCAATAAGCCAAGATCGTGCCACTGGACCCTGCTTGAGCGACAGAGTGAGACTCCATCTCAAAATAAATAAATAAATAAATAAATAAATAAATAAATAAATAACAATAAAAATAATTTTAAAAATAAATAAATAAAACTGAACAATACATTACTTTAGAAATACATGTACATATAATAAGATTATTAGAAAGACCAGGAACCCTAATAATACAATTCAGCATAGCAGTTATTTCTAGGGAAGACAAGGAAATGAAATGGTGAATAGTCACAGTTGGCTTCAATGTCTTGGTAATATCCTAGTGATATTGGACAGGAGGCAGGGAAATACTGGGTAGCAGAGGGTAGTTCCCCGGCAATGGCCCCATCCACAAGCCTGGGCCCATGGCCCTAAATGAGAACTTCATATCCCTGTTTTCCCACCCGAATGTTGTTTTTTCAAAAACCACCCTGACCCACAACACCCCCATCCTGTACCTATAAAAACCCCAAATTCCACCGGCAGAGGAGTGGAGTGGCATAGCAGAGAATGAGAGAAAAGAAGAGGCAGCTGGACGGTTGGAGACAGGGAGGTTATCTTCCCACTCCATCCCCTTTCCAGCTCCCCATCCCACTGAGGGCCACCTCCACCACTCAATAAAACCTCTGCATTCACCATCCTCCAAGTCTGTATGACCTGATTCTTCCCAGATGCTGGGCAAGAACCTGGGTACCAAGAAGGCAAGGTGTAAAAGGCTGTCACCCTGACTCTCCACTGAGCTGCTTAATACTTAGCCATCTTGGATGGCAACTGCCAAAAGAGCATTAATCATAACACACCCCTAGATGCTGCCATGGGGCTGGAGCCCAAAGGCACTCACCCTGGCCCAGGCACCTGTTTGCCTGGGTGCTCCCCCACCCACAAGGGGTTTGAGCACCCGGCCAGGTAATCGAGCCACACCCCTGTCGCAAGTCCCACGAAGGGTCCAGGCAACTCTCCTATCTCACTAGGTTTTAAGGACAGTTGCAGATCCCACAATCTTAATGACTAACTTTACAACTTACATACGTGTTACACGTATTCTTTTATGTGTATCAATATTTACATAATTTTAAACCTTGGTTGCACAATAATAAGGATACAAAAAGGGTAGGAGCCCTGGAAATTGTTGGCAAATAGGACTTTACATTTTAAAATAAATGCATTATGTTAAGATGAAAATTTTCTTTAAATACACAATTTTAATGTATCATGCCAATACCTCCTCTTATTCAATAGTTCTTTGTTTTTATGTTTTCAGCCACCTCAATTAAATTTCATAGAAATTAAACATTGGGAGATGAAGAAAGGGATTTGGTTATGTTTACTCTTCCAAAGCAATCTGTCCTCTCACTAAACACATCTATCTTGAAAATATTTAAATAGCCAATTATCAAAGAAATAAAATAATGACAAATTACTAGTGGCCCCCCCCCAAAAAAATTAAACTGACTATTCCAAAAGTAAATATCAGTATGTATCTCCAATATGTGTATATTTATTTATAAATTACATAATGTACATATTACTGTTTTTATATATTATAGACATTTGAACCATTTCAAATTTATAAGGAATTAAACTTTAAAAACATATCGAAGTAGAAGTTCTAATGTGTTCCTCCTATACCCTAGTGGATGGGTGTGTGCACCTCATGAGGCTCACATCTTTCACTTTGGAGATTATGGAGATTACCACTCCAATTCACAAGAATTGCATTAAGAAGCAAGTAGCCCAAACTTGCTTAAAGGACTTGCTATTAATATTCTGTTTGTAAATCCACATTGTTCAGTTATCTGTTCAATCTATTTCTATTATTTTGAAGAAATTAATATCTGTCTGATTTAAAGTAGGTAACACCCAATTCATTCAACAACTCTGTTTACAAATAGTGTAAATGAGGATTAAAGGCACCATCTTAAGATTTTACTTATGTTCCAGGAACTCAATGAAAAAACAAACAACAAAAAGACCAAAAAAATCACTTTTGTGATACTGGTAATTGATTTTTTTAGCTTTCCAAGTAGATAAAATCAACACCTTAAAATACTTGTCTTTAACCCGGGCTTTCTTTTATTAAAGTGTACAATTGCAGGTGCATGCCTAGAGGAGTAATAGCTTGCTCCTAACAAAAGAGCCTGGATTCCACAATATGCCTTTTGCCAGAGGCATCGTTCCCCAAAGCATACAGCTAACTGCATCTCCTGCTGTACCTGTAACAATTTAATTGTATAAGTCAGCCTAGTCAAGCACCTCCAGCTCGTGACTGGGAGACATGAAATTCATTGTCATTATTGTCCCTGTCATTTTGGATCATTATATCCTGCTGCAGAATTTTCCTCACTTCAGTGCATTTTTACCTCCAGGAGCCAGGGATTATAGCTGAGGTTGGGGTGGGGGCAGGACCGTGAACTACATTTACCTCAGGGGAGCCAGAGATTAAATTGGCTTTGCTCTCTCACGAGCTGAATTCATCTATTTGTATGCTGTGAATTTTAGGTTGGAATAAAAATGAATATTCTAGTGAAACCTGGGCTTTAATTCCCCCTTTGAAATATGGATGTAACCAACTTTTATTTACATTAGGAAAAGGCAATGTAATTTCTTATAGTTGCTATTTTCATATGTGCATAAGGAATACTTAGAAGCATCGTCGGGTATGAAACAACAGACATCTCTGTCAATGTCTTGACTCTCAGAAAGGAAGAATTTAAAGCTGTAATTTTGTTCTTCAGTTTCATTTTATAATGGCTTAATGGAGGTATTGAATGGTTTTTAATATTTAATGATTTTTAATTATAGCTCATTTTCTGTGTACTAGATTGGATGACTGGAGTCTAACTAGAATAGCCACAAAGATCCACTCTGGGAACAAATAGAGGAAAAAAAAAATAAGTTCCTGAGAAAACTGGCTACCCCTAACAGCTGGTTCACATAATCTCACAGCCTGTCAAGTCACCCAGGCATGCCATGCCCTAAACACTTTCTTCTGACTTGAGAAAGTTGGCCTGGTCACCATACTCTCTACTTGATAACTCCCTTATCAGCAGTAATGGCCAGCTGTGGGTCTCTTCTAGGCAAGTTAGAAAATGCTAGGACATGTCTCAGTCAGAAAACCAGTGAGTTGACTATATGATTACTCTAACAGAATATAAGAAGGAAATACAACTGGAGGAAAAACTGGTATGTCATTTACTATCCCAATTTTCATTTCATATGGATTTCACTGAGAAATTTGAGATTCTCTCTGTCTGCATTTAAAAATATGACAGTTATTCCTCCATTTATGTGAATTTGTTTTTCAGTGGTTAACAATAAAATATGGTACAGATCATACTTATGTCATGCACAGAACAGTAACTATAATTACTACATCAAAAAGTATGAAGGGCCAGATGAAGTGGCTCATGCCTGTAATCCCAACACTTTGGGAGGCCAAGGCGGGAGGATCACTTGAGGCCAGGAGTTCAAGACCAGCCTGTCTCTACAAAAAATAAAAATTAAAAAAAATATATAAAATGTTGGAGGGAAGAGTGCATGGAACTTCTTTATTACCTCTATGAACTTCTGTGGGAGAACAAACTTTGCCTTCATCATATGCAATAGCCATCCAGAATTTAATTAGGATGAACTGTGTTTATGAGAAATTAAAATTTTTATCTTTGTACATTTTGTACTTCAGAGGAAACCTCTTACAGCCCTAACATCTCTGCGTTGAAGATACCTTACAGATCTTCTCAGTGCCTGGTCCATATTAATGGCAACATTTATTAGTTTGTCCCACTATATTTTCACATCATTATATTTCACTTTTCATGGTTGCTGAAGTAAGTGTATAAGATATTACTAATAAGAATTTTTAGTTAGCAAAACTTCTTGCAGCATTAAATGTTCATTTGATTATCTGGTCACAGTGGCTCACGCCTATAATTCCAACACTTTGGAAGTCCAGGGAGGGAGAATCCCTTGAGCTCAGGAGTTCAAGACTAGCCTAGGCAATACAGGGAGACCTTGTCTCTAGCAAAAGTAAAAAACAACTAGCCAGGTATAGTGGCACATGCTAAGTGTAATCCCAGCTACTTGGGAGACTGAGGCAGGAGGATTGCTTGAGCCCCGGAGATTAGAGGCTGTGGGAAGCTATGATCATGCTACTGCATTCCAGCCTGGGTGACAGGGCAAGACTCTGTCTCAAAAAACTTAATTAATTAAAATTAAAAGTTCATTTGATTACTTACGCCACTTTCTCATCAGATTCAAAATTCTCCCTTGGTGGGAGTTATAAAAATTATTTCTGTTCACTTTAAAATGGCTAATTTTAATTGAATTTTATTGAATTTCACCTCAATATGTTATTTTTAAAGTAAATTCAACATTATTTCAAGAAGCCTGAATGCAACTTGAAATCACTTCAGTGACTATTGTTATATTCTCATCATGGTGATTTATGAAGAGTATGTATTTTCCTTGTTAAGAAAAGCTTATCTTATAAACTACCATGTTTAGACTTGGGTTTGCAATGATAAAAGTTCACATTGAAATATTTTCCTCTCTGAAATACTTTAGTAGCAGGATGATACTGTAATAACATTTTTCCAGTCAAAGGGAAAAAAGGCGTTCATTCCTTTTGTTGAGCATGGATTTACTCATTTAATTCTTTTACCTACATGCTCCTCGTCACCTTGTTTCCATGTCGATATTCAATTTGATCATCACACCATATTATGTAAAACAAGAGTTGCCCCACATGTAAATATAGTTGTAAAACCACAAAACTACACTGTTGCACATGCTTGTTTTGCCTCACCTCAAGTATGATATAGTTGGGCCTGTACCATTTCAGAACAAGGTCAAAAGACAAATTATTTATATCAAATGAGTAGAATATACTTATTTTTACTCCTTTGCCTCAAGACTTAAGATTTTACAAGTAATTTCCAAAGAGCAATTTGAAAATATTTTAAATACTTTTTAAATTTTTCAGGAATTTTTGCTAAGCTCATAATTTTGCAACCTATAACAGGCTATAAAGATCAATTCTAGATTAAAGAATTCTTTTTCCTCATGATTCTAAGAGAATAATCTTTCTTCTGCCTTGTGTAACAAAGGTTTCCCTTGGCTTCTCCATGTAGAATCAATAAGAATCTATAATTCACAACAATTCCAAATAAGAATCTATAATTCACAACAATACCAAACCAATGTAAAACAGGATGTCACAAATTCAGATATGACATTTGCTAATATTTCTTTTCTTCTTCTTCTTTTTTTTTTTTTGAAATAGGGTCTCATGCTGTTGCCCAGGCTGGAGTGTAATGGCGGGATCTCAGCTCACTGCAGCCACCTCAGCCCCCCAAGTAGCTGGGACTACAAGTGCATGCCACCGCACCTGGCTAATTTCTTGTATTTTTAGTAGAGATGAGGATTCGCCATGTTGGTCTTGAACTGGGGTCAAGTGATCTGGCTGCCTTGGCCTCTTAAAGTGCTAGGATTACAGGTGTGAACCAACATACCCAGCCCACTAATACTTATTTTTAAAAGATTCAGATATTGACAAGCTTACAAATAAAATTGGTTAGTGCCTAATAGATCACAAAGTATAGAAAATGAGTAAGTATGTGAGAGGGTTTGTGCAGGAGGGATTAGTAATAAGAGGGAAAGGCCACAAACATTTCCATGTCAGGATGGGCAGGACGCTATTTACAGAATGCCTTCATACTCCTCCTGGACCAAAAACCTCTTTACTATAATCACCCAATAAACTACAATGGATTAACATTAAGGGTCCAATGCAGAGAAAGCAAATTCACAGTTAAGGTTGTCCTTTAACATGTAGACTCAATCAAGGGCACCAAAAAAATAGTTAAGTGGCCCCCCTGTGGTGTTCAGATGCTCGGAAGCACTGTAAACTGTGAATTTTCTAGCTTTTAATGTTTACCTAAGACCCTTAACATTTTTCTAATATTGTTGATCCTAGGACATTTTCTTGAGTTTGGTCCCCTTTTCCCTCTCTGTACATATACTTTTTGCATTTATATATGAAAGCCTGACAGCTGAATTGGTTCAGAAATGTAACACTGGAAAGAAGAAAAAAACACAGGGATAGCCTTTGGGACATCCCATAGTATTCAGTATAAATATCAAAGTATCCTGAAAAAAATAAAACAACAACAAATTCTTCTTGCTAAGAGTTTAGATATCTAATACTAGATAGAAAAGATAATACAACGGGGGTGGGGGGCTCACTGAGGTATAAAATCTAAGCTGTCCTCTGCATCACAAAATTTTTAGGACTTTTTGAACATGTATAATTATCTGTGTTCAGCTATTTCCTTATAAATGGACACCCTTGGACTATATTCCAATCTCACACACTCTTTAAAACTACTAGTAAAATTTTACAAATGGCTTTGCCTGTTTTGTTTTATGTTGTTTTGTGGACCATCTGGAGATACATTAAGTGTTCCTTCAAATAAAAGTGTACAAAACTATATTGCATACATGCAAAAAAAAAAAAAAAGAATGAACATTGAACACATGGCAAATGGCCACTATGTAATGTCACTATTAGAAAACATCTAACAACAATAAAATAAGCAATAAAAACTCAGAGCAGTTTAACAGATGCAATGTTCATCTACCTTCGTCATATAAATTATACATTCAAGAATTGTGTCCTGTGCAAAATACAAACATGTCAATTTCAGCCCACAGGGCATTTTTCCCCCTAGGTTTATAACCCCTTGAAAATGGAGGTTTCATCTAGAAAACCTAACATATCCTCAGCTGCTTTCAACATTATAATATATTCATAAGGCAAATATTCACTAGCAAACACATAACAAATTACATGGCATGAGGGTGGGGACCAAATTCATAATAATGAGAAATGGACCAAACCAACCATGAGACACAAAGTAGAAATCAAAGAAGAAAACAAATATGTAAAATAAACAGTATTAAAGGTAAAATGGTATGGTTAGTTTTTCAGCCACCGTTAGAGAAAATGGTGAATATGTGCGTGCACGTGTGTTTGTGTGTTGTGTAAGATTAGTATTTAAAGATGCAAAACTATCTCCTTAAGAATACACTATACGGGTCATGAGTGAGAGAAAAGTATCTTGTGAGGAAAAAAAAAAAAAACATCACATACCGTCATAGTAGACAATTGCTCCTACCAGTTTGTCCTTCTGGAGCATTGGGAAATGTTCAAGGGCTCTTGATTTGCTGAGGACATAACTGCTTTTTAGGCAATTGCTTCCTGCAACCAAATCATACAGCTTGATTCCTACCCAGTAGTAAGGTAACTGCCACCACCTACAGCATAAATAGGGGGGAAAGTTCTTCAGAAACAGAGTATAGCATTATAGAATATTACCTTACACTACAAGACACTTTCATTTAAGAAAAACAAAGCATACCTAGAAGTGGACTGCAAAAGAAACAGACTTATGCAACTGTTTTTGACACCAACCTAGCTGAAGTCTATAAGTAAAATAAATCAATGAGATTTTAAATGAATCTTCTCTGAGGCAGCTGTTCTCAAACTGGCTGAATATTAGAATTCTCTGGGGAACATTAAAAATACTGATGCCTAAGCCTCATACATCCAGAAACTGATTTAACTAGACTAGGGTGGGGGCCTGGATGATGACAATGTACACCCAGGATTAAGAATCACTGGTTCAGGAAGTCCTAAGCGATCTATGATGAAGGATGAACAAAATTATAAAAAATCTGTTTCCAGCCCCCTACAACACTAATGTGGCTAAAAGAGTTACATAATCTACTTGTTCATACTACCTGAATTCCAATGTAAGGCAACTTCATGGATAGCTCTAAAAACATTAGGAAAATTAAGTTTTATAATTTATAATCTGACACTTCCTAACCAAATTTCAGCCTTGGTTAACTCAGACACGTAACATGACTCAAAATGCCTTGGGTTTCAAGTGGTATGTGGTATGTTTACATTTTATAACAGGATACTTTAGCTCAACCATTTACAGTCTGCACATGATCCTCTTATGTTCCTTAATGCAAATGCAGTTGCTCATCTATATACTCTCAGAAACTGGAGTAAGAAACTACTAATTACAAATACAGAATACGACCTCCTTTGCCTTTAAAATCTAGAGATAGGCCAGTAGAGAGTAATTTAAGAAAAGCCATACTTTTAAATACAACAAAGGAAAATACTTCAAAAGGATTAAAGATTAGGACCAATTAAAACCACATTATGAAATATGCATTGAGGGATTATTTCCATTAAAACTGTTGTTCTATTGACCGCAGAGAAGCAAATGCATACAGGTGATATCAAAAGGCTTACTTGTAAACTGGAAGCATTATAGGCAATGGAGCTGATAAATGGGGAGCAATTTCTAGCAGGTTGGCACGCTCATGAAGGGCTTCTTTTACCATCCTATACTGAAAGGCAAAACAGAGAAAATTAGTTTGGCAGTAACAGATCATAATATTTTCAAATGGCAAATAGACACCCTGCCAACTGATTGATACACAGAAACCTTCTATCTCTGAGTGAGGATAGCTCCCTCCTAATCAAATTTCTAATAATACATCATGCTGTCAACCTCAAAGATTTTTTAGAAACCTTAACTGTATTTGCATAGGAGAAAAACATGCTGTCAGAGTTCCCAGGTGTAAGATATTTTCCTGACTTGAGTTACAAGATTATTGTAGCCATTTATCTTGCATCCTCTGGATTGTCTCCCTTTCTCAGTTCCCCATAATATTTTTTCTGTGTAGGAGATAACAGATTGTTCAAATTCATGCTAAAAGTTTCCATCTTGCCTTCATGAAACCAAGCAATGATGCTTCTTAACAGTTGCACAGTATTTTACAGATTATAAAAAGGCTTTTGTCTTAACTGCTGTAGTCCTCATTACGCCTCTCTAAAAAGCCAGCATTGCTATTATAACACTAATTTTACAAATAAGATAACAGACTCATAGATTTTGAGTAAATAAGCCTGAACACATCACAAGTTAGCTGATTCTAAATCCTATGCTGTTTTCTTTGCCTCCATCATGATGCTGAAGAGAAATATAAGGGGACAGATTCAAAACTGACTTGTCAAGAAAAAAAAAGAGACAGATTCAAAACTTGACAATGTCAAGCCAGTGCCACTGTGTTTTTCATGTACAAAAAGAGATAGGAAGTTCAGCTGATTTTTTTTACCCCTCTGGGAAATGTCATCTTCCACACTGCCTTGGCAGTTTTCAAATGGTGGCAGGCTGGACACAATAAAGTGTGACATAAGAAAAGCATGACTCAGATCATCTTTTCCTTCAGAATATGTCAGTGACAATATGAGCCTATGACTGCAGTTGTAGTTAAGAGGATCAATTTCGCACTCCCCCTGCATTACAACATAGCTCCCCTGAAAGTGCTTGCAAAGTAGCAATTTGGTAGCCATTGGCAAAAACCCAAACACAATTGTTAAAAGGCAACACATTCAAAAGTGATTTTGTAAATCTGCTACTTCAACATGCTTGTGAAGAAAAAGCCCCTGATTACCCATAAACATAATACTACAGGAAAGAACTGACACACCTCTCCTGAAAGATATTCCAGCAGAATACACTAAATAGGTATTTCCAACAGGAAGAAATGCTTTTAAGCCATTAAAGAAAAAAAAACCTGATTTAATTGGGTAGAAAAAAGCACAGTTGCAATTTTTGTTTAACAACCAGCATACACAATTACCTGCTCAATATCCAACTTCATGATGGCCTTCTGCAGATATCTCACACCACCATGGATCAATTTAGTGCTTCTGCTGCTGGTCCCTGATGAGAAATCATCTCTTTCTACAAGGGCTGTTTTTAGTCCTGTGTAACCAGAAAACCAAATTAACTTCTTAAATTACACAATTTGTATGTAATTCATTAAAGGCACTTCTCCAGGGTAGAGACAATCACAAGAAAAATTACTCTGAACATGGATAAATTTGTATTCAAAGTGCAGTACACTGTCTATATTATAATGAAGAGATTTTAGGCTCTTCCTGGGGGAAAAGTCAAGCCAGAACTAGAAGCATATTAAGCTGTGAATGAATCACAACTAGAAAATATTACAGTGCAATTTCATGGCAGTAACATACTCTGGTGCACTTAGAAGGTCAAAGGAGAGACTAGCACCCAACTCTACCCATGAAGAGTTAACTGAATGTTGTTGCAAAGCCTTCTAGAACTCTCGTTCATCTCTCACAACAGTCCAGACCTGTCGCAGCCCCTCATCTCTGATCTACTCTAATGCATGCATCATGAATAAATCTAGACTAGACTTCCTTCTGTGTGTTGACTTCTGTTGAGAAATGCATCTGGAGTGGTATTATGGTAGATATACAATGGGGAGAGATAGCAAAGAAAGGAAAGAAAGAAAAAGAAAGGAAGAAAGAAAGAAAGAGAATAAGTTCTGATATTGAGGTGTTTATAGTCTAATTTAAAACCTTTGAACATGACAATATTTTAGAATTACAAAGAAATCCAAGCCAGTAAAAATGAACACTGTGCAGAGTAACCATGAGTAAAGAATATATTCTTGCCAGGCGTAGTGGCTTATGCCTGTAATCCCAGCACTTTGAGAGGCGGAGGCGGGTGGATCACTTGAGGTCAGGAGTTCAAGACCAACCTGGCCAACATGGTGAAACTCTGTCTCTACTAAAAATACAAAAAATTAGCTGGGCATGGTGGCATGGTGGCATGCGCCTGTAATCCCAGCTACTCGGGAGGCTGAGGCCGGAGAATCGCTTGAACCCAGGAGGCAGAGGTTACAGTGAGCCAAGATCATGCCACTGCACTCCAGCCTGGGTGACAGGGTGAGACTCCATCTCAGGAAATAAAAAAAAAAAAAAAAAAAGAAGAACATATTCTTGATAAGGAAAGGCTGAGCAAAGATAGGTCAGTTCTAGAAGTTGCCCATGCCCCCTTTACTTGAGGGCTGTTATAGATCTCCTAGGGATAACTAGTTTTGTTTTGCTGCAGAGACACCCTGCCTCTTCAGGACTGGAGATGACCATCAGTACTACAAGTGCCACACAGGAGTTGAGAGATGAAAGCCAATACGCCAAAAGACCCAAAGAATACATCGACACCAAGCCATGAGGAGTTTTCATGGCCTGGAACACTCTTGGAGGATGAAAGAATGTCATAGAATCCAGTTACAATGAGAATACGTAACTAGAGCAGTTTGGACTCACAAAGTTCATTTAGGAGAACCTGTGCATGTATTCAATTCAAAGCCACTTATTACATTTAATACCAAAGGGTCGTTTTTATAACTTTTAACAGTTTAAATATCGTACCCAAATGTCATCATAAAATCAGGGCAATTCCCTTGACTCAAAAGGACAAAATATTTAGAAGCTGTGGAGAGAAAAGTAGAGAACTTTGATTCAAGGGCAAAAACTGTTAATGCCTTAACTACCTAGAAAAATAACACAAAAGTTACAGGTATCACAGCCCCAGGTCACTCCTTTTAAGTATATATGCCAGAGAAAGACCTGTAAAATTCTCAGCTATTAAAACCCTAGCAATGCCTAGCGAATTTAGTAGTGAATATTCTAAGAACACAGAAAAATATTAGTACATATTTTTAAGAATATTGAGAGCCAAAATCCTGATATTAGAAGTGAATTAGGCATGAACTAGGCTGTCAGGTATCTCCCCGCTCAAAGAAAAGCAAGTATACAAAGTGCAGCAGTTTAATAGAGGCCAAGTTTGAAAATCCAGAAGACTCTCATCATACTCCACGTTAGAAGGTAAATTCAGGATATAAACCCAGAAAAATTAAATCTGCAAATCTCTTAAGAATGCACTATCTCAGTGAGCTATATCACCTTTTCTTAGTAAGTCCAACACAGAGTTCTTCTTCTAGCACTAAAATAGACCATTTTTTCTTCAGCTGAAGATCAGACGAGGGAGTTGACTTTCAAATGATATTTAAGAGCCAGATTATTTAAAATATACCTCTCTTTAAACCCTGGAATCACTGTCATGGCATCAAGATGCCCACACCATGAGAGGCAGGGAAACAAGGTTGAGAGAGGACAAGCAGCCTCCCCCACAGCCCACAGCTTCCTCACCTGGGCCTATCCTTAGGGATACCTACCCTAAGGTATCCTACAGGCTATGGTAGACAGACTACTTAGACAGTCTCCAGTAATCCCAACTGCATAGTATGTCACCCCCTGCCCTGGAGTGTGGGCTAGACTAGCACCTTTCTTCTAATGAGCAGGTGATGTGCCACTACTGTGATTAGGTCATTAAAGACTGGGAAGTGCTCTCTCTCTTTCCAGTATTCTCTATTGCCCTCCTGCTTGCTTGCTCTGGTAAAGCAAGCTGTCATGTTGTGAGTTAAGGAACAAAGGGAGGCTCCTGGTCAACAGGTGGTGAGGAACAGAGACCTCAGTCCAACAACCATGCGAGTTATTAGAAAGCACTGTCCACTATGAGGGATGCAGAGCCACAGTACCCAGCTAAGGCTCACCCAGATTCCTGACTTACTGAAACTGGCTGATGATAATTGTTGTTTTACGCCACCAAGTTTTGGGGATAGTTTTGTAGTGACACAATTCCCTGTGTGAAGATTAACTATAGCCAAGATGGGAGAGATGGGAGTTTTCCTTGTACCTGGGGATGGAGTCATCAGGAAAGAAAAGTCTACAGAGAAGTACGTGTTCAGGGCAGGTGGAGTGAAGAAAGGGAAAGATCATCGACAAAGCCCAGCTTAAGAAAGAGAAGGCAAACGCTTCATGTGGCCTAGCTTATCCAGGGGCTGCTTGTCACTCAGGGGTTGGAGTGCAGGTACAAAGAATGGGCAAGGCAGATCTCAGAGGGCTCTTCTTACACATTCAGGTATTTGGATCTTGTCCTGTTAACCACTGTTTCTCACAAGTAAGTAATATCTGGATCTCCTCAAAAGGAAGATGCCTCTGAGAACACAGCTATGTGTCCTGGATCAGTTTAAGAAACAAATGTTTCATCAGAAAAAAACAAGATGTGGCCAGGTGTGAGTGGCTCACATAATCCTAGCACTTTGGAAGCCAAGGCGGGAGGATGATCACTTGAGCCCAGGAGTTCAAGACCAGCCTAGACATCATGACAAAATCCTGTATCAACCAAAAAATACAAAAATTAGCCGGGCATAGTGGCATGTGCCTGTTTTCTCAGCTACTTGGGAGGCTGAGGTGGGAGAATCGGCTTGAGCCCAAAAGACAGAAGTTGCAGTGAGCCAAGATTGCACTGCTGCACTTCAGCCTGAATGACAGAATGAGACCCTATCTCAAAAAAAAAAAAAGAAAAGAAAAAGAAAAAGTGGCTGGGCACAGTGGCTCATGACTGTAATCCCAGCACTTTGGGAGGGGTGGGAGGATCACTTGAGGTCAGGAGTTCAAGACCAGCCTGGTCAACCTGGCAAAACCCCATCTCTACTTAAAAAAAAAATTTGTCAGGCACGGTGGTGCATGCCTGTAATCCCAGCTACTCAGGAGGCTGAGGCAGGAGAATCGCTTGAACCCAGGAGGCGGAGGTTGCAGTGAGCCGAGATCGTGCCATTGCACTCCAGCCTAGGTGATACAGTGAGACTCCGTCTCAAGAAAAAAAAAAAAGATGTAGCATGCACAGGCAAGCACTAATATTAGTATTTTTAGTATTTTACACAGTTACAAGCTATCCATTCTGGGGAACCAGGGTGTGCTTGTTAATTTATTATTATAAAAAAGGAATAACATTTAAATTTTTTCTAGAAGTCCTCAGATATTGTTTTGAGAAATACTATTATGCTGACTGTCAGGAGAACTATCAAAATGTTTTCAGCTGAGAAATCAGATTAAGGTTCAGAAAAGATTAATCTGACTGCAGGAATGAGGGGTAGAGGTAGGACTGGAGGCAGGAGACCTTTTGGAGGACCAGTGTCATATAACAGGAGTTGGGGCAATGAAGAATCCGGCCTCAGAAGGCAGAGATGGTATTGAAGGGTGATATAAAGAGAAAATTTTATGGGCTGTGTTGTCAGGATGGATTTTTTTTTTTTTTAATTTCCCAAATTGACAGAGTGTGAGGCAGGGAACTACTCTAGGAATTAGCAAGCCATCTCAGGAGGATATTTCAGGATATTTAAGTGAGAGCTAACACTTTAAAGCTCTCAAAACTGCTTTTTCCAGTATTGGACATTTTAAAAGTTATCACATGTACTTATGTGAGAAACCCTAGTGAATACCAACAAAAGTTAAAATGGGCCTCTCTGTCAAACCAGGCTGTTTTTCTTGTCCCATTATTTCTAGTGTCAAATTATCAAGTTACCCACCAGAATTTCTGGAAAGAAACGATACTGCTCCTTCCAGAGCAAAAACTTAAAATTTTAGTTTCCAAAGTTATAGCTAAATTGATATATTAAAATGCCATGTAACATAAAAGTATTACTGAAAGTTTTCCAAACCACAAAAAACTCTAAAAATTTTCTTTAATTTTCAACTGCTATTATATGCTAAATGTTTTAAATCTCTCATTTTTGTTGAATGAGAAGTAGAAAGGAGGAAAATAAAATCAAGACATTATTAGAAGTCATAGCTGCAACTCAACTATTTCTTAACTAATTAACCAACCAACCAACTGCAATGAAGACAATAACATTTTTAAAAGCCTTTTGAGGTTCTTCTGTGGTTCTGTTATCTAATCTGTCCCTTTCTGTTTCAATTCTCAAAAATCCAAATTGTTTCCTCACCTCAAAAATTACTGAAATCAAATTAAGAGTTCAGTTTTCTGGTATGTTAAGTATAAAGCAAGGAAGTGAAAAGAGGGAGGTGTTTTATCTTCTCAGATAGTGAATAGTATTAAGTGATATTCAATGCTAGCATTTTGTGTTCTTAGGTAAAATAATTAAGCCTGAAGGGCATAAAAAATAATGCACCCAGGATTCAAGAAACTACTCCTTACTATGGATTTGAGGAGGCTGGGGAGAGATCTTCCCTCAAAGTAGAAAGAGTGACCTCCTTACATTACAGGCAGGGAAGGGCTGGCCTCTCTATGTAGTGAAGGTAATTCACTAAATTAGTTCAAGATTTTATAGTAAGTTTGTTTTTCTTTTTCTTTTTTCTTGTTAGCAGCTACTTTTTATGGAAAGCAATAAGCTGTATCTCTATTAAGATGAAACAGAACATTTAGTGGGAGTGGTAGTATCATTATTTAAGGCTTTGTTTTTATTATTGATTACTTTTAGTAGGTAGTCTGGGGAATTTTGCGACAGTAATAAAATACTAATATTTGGAGTAACATTACCTGAAATCTTAGGCAGAATAACAAGATTAGTTAGAGTAGAAGAATAAAGTCAACTTGAAATCTATATTCCATTTATCATCTCATCTGTTAGCAAACTGAAATTGTATCTTCTAGGTGGGGCAAGAGTTATGAACTAACACAGCTCTTTACAGCTTTGTCTTTTCTGACCTGAGTGAGAATTTCTAATTACTTCCAACTAAACCAATTCATGGATCAAAACAGTTGGATGAATATAGAAGGATAATTACAATCTAAGAGGAAAAATGGTACGACATTTAACTTTCACAACATGAAATAGAACAGAAGTATATTTTAATACCTTTTACTGATTATCTTATTATGCATGAAAACATGCTCAATATAATAAATGCAGATAAGCAAAGAGAATAAAATAAAACTCTCCTGTAATCACACCACTCAGAGATAACCACAGTTGACATTTGGGTATTTAAACGTTCACATTTTCTATGCATGTATATAATCACATATGTACATTTTTGTAAAAATAGGATCATATGGTATATTTGATTTAATTTTTTTCATTTAACACTGTTTATTGTAAACACTTACCCATGTCAATAAATATTTTTCTATAATTTCATTTTTAACATGTGGATAATATTCTATTAATTTTAATAATTTATTCAATTTCTTATTTTTGAATATTTGGATTATCCCATTGTTTCACTATTACAGATAGTGCTGCAAGATTATATTTTCATTTAAACTCCTTGTATCTTTAATTATATCATTAGAACAAATTTTAAGAAATGTCACTATTAAGATATTTCTAAATAGAAAGGTGAGAATAATCACTCTGAAATAAGTATCAGAGACACCAAGATAATAGCACAAAAAATCAAAAAATTTAAGATGCTTTGTATGTTAGCACCATAAGAACAGGTATTAAAGCCACATGCTGCATGTAGGAAAAATAATATAGTTTTTTTTTTTAAAGGTGAGTTTATCTTTCTTTAGAAAAGCTTTGGGCACTTAACTTTGGATTTCAGACAGCCATTGCCATTAATAAGAAAAGGGACTAACCCGAAGGCTGAACATTTTATGGGAAGGATCAATTCCTCTAAAATATTATCCTCTTGTAAAGCTGCAAAGTAATCCTGACTTGTTAATCCTCACGATCACGATACAATGCTTTGGCCTGGTATTTTCCAAAAGTGAATATTAGCATTTTATATAAATATATGATATTGAGTTGGTTATTTATTTCTATGTTTATATTAGAAAACAGATATATTAGAAAACAGATTAATAGAGATATGATGTTGTTAGAACACATCATTAACATACTTTAATGTTTGTTAAGTACACACATGATTATGGAGTCACAAAACTGTACTAGGCTGTAACAATTGCAATAACACAATTTTGAGGAATAAGGGAGTTGCTGCTGTTGCGTTTTATTTTTACTTTGGTATTATCAAACATACCCAATGTTCAAAGAGAGGAAGAATATCCAAATAATATAGAAAGGCAAAAAAAGATAATGATGTAAAAAACTATACTAATGGCCTCCTGGTTTCCTAGTTACAAAATCCACAGGTAAACAATGTTAACTATTAAAACTGTCTTATATATTTTATCAGAAACTTTTTTATGCTTACTAAAGAACACTATCTGATACCATCTCGCTTTAAAAACAAATAAAAATTAGCACTCATTCTTCACAACTTGCTTTTTTAAAATTTGTAACACATCTTAGCCATTTTCCCTGTAAATACTTATACATCTATCTCTTTTCAATAACTGAATATCCAATTTATTAAGCCAGACTCCAATTTTTTGCCATTATAAATATTGTTATAAATAAAATTCTGACCCGTATGACATTGTAAGCTCAGCTTTGAACTCTTCTTCTTCTTAAAAACACAGAAAATTATATATGCATATATTTTAAAGGACATAATTGACTCAAAAATAAGATTAAAACTCAATGGACTTGAAATGTAACAGAAACTCAGAGCAGAATGTTTAGACCAAAAGCTTCTCTCTTGCTAGGTTCAAGGTCTAAAAATGGGCAAAGGCAATCAAGATCTCAGTTCCAAAAGGGTAAGAGGAATATAAATATCCATTACAAGGAAAGGTAAAAAAGCCAGAGGAGCATTTGATTGCTGGGACTGAAGAAAGTCTCTGCCTCTTGTGCAAGGAGGTTGACAAGCTTCTCTTGACCACTCTCTGGGCCCAGGAAGCAGAAAGACAGACACAGCCTTGGCACCAGCACCACAGCCAAGGCACCACTTGTCTCAGCAGCTAGTCTGCAAGGTCCCCAAAATCAACAAGGGCAGGAGTCTTTTGGTTCCAAGAAAAGTCTCTCATGGTCATTACTATACTTACAGAGTTGAGGGTATGGAAAAAGAGCATGAAACAAAACTGATCTAATAAGGGCAGAAAAGGGGGAAAAGAAGCAAAATAAAAAGCATGAAAGATTAAAAAAAATACAAAGCAAATGCACATGGAATAAAAAAAATGTAAATGGATTCCATTTACTGATTAAAAGACATAGTCTATTAAGTGTAAAAAGAAATAAAACAAATAAATATAATCTAGCTATATACTATTTATCACAGATATAACATAACAAAAGGATTTAGAAAAGTGCAGAATGGCCAGGCACAGAGGCTCCTGCCTGTAATCCCAACACTTTGGGAGGCCAAGGTGGGAGAACCACTTGATCTCAGGAGTTCTAGACCAGCCTGGCAATGCAGCAAGACCTCATCTCTACAAAAAATTTAAAAACTCATCAGGCCTGGTGGCACACACTTTTAGATCCAGCTACTCAGGAGGCTGAGGTGGTAGGGTCTCTTGAACCCAGGAGGTTGAGTCTGCAGTGAGCTATGATGGAGCCACTGCACTCCAGCCTGGGTAATAGAGTGAGACTCTGTCTCCAAAAACAAAACAAAACAAAACTTGAAATAAAAACCTGAGATAAACCCTGTCTGTTTGCTATTTTGTAAATATTTCCCAAATTTCACCTTTTTGCTTTTACATCTTTTGCCATGGATACATTTTAATTTTTATAAAATCAAAAGCAGGCTTTTCCTTTATGGCTTTTTGCTGTCATACTTAAAAACACCTTTCCTACCCAATTTTTAAAAAAAATTTACATATACCTGCTTCTAATAGTTTTATGATGTTTTAAAGTTACATCCTTGATTCACATGGAATATGATAAAACAGAATATATATGCATGCATACATACACAGACACACACACACACACACACATGCATATATATAAATCGGGGGGAGTGGATACCCCAACATCATTTATTAAGTAACTAATGATGACAGTTTTGAAATGCTGCCTTTACCATATTCTAAACTTCATGTATTTAAAGACTGATAGACTAATTTATAGACTCCATGACTGATTCTCTGTTCCTTTACCAGATTATTTTAATTACAGTAGTTTTAGAATACACTTTAGTATCTGATAGGTCTCTACTTCCCTTATCAGTAGTCTTTTTCAAAATCAGTCTAGTAAATCTCACAGGCGTAGTTCTCTTCTTAAAGTTTTACAGTTTCTTAAGTCGATTCCGCTGACCCTGGCCAAAGGAAAGCACTACATTAATTAAAATTATGTTAAATCTCCAGATTAATTTTAAGAGAAATTTGCAATCTAGTCTAATTAGCTGTGTCCAGCAAAGAGCAAACTTTTACTTCCTGCAATTCTACCTTCTGAAGTAGAATTTTCTCCTACCTTCATGGTGGATGGGTGGAGACCATAATTCTCAGAATGCACTATCTCCAAGGCTCTCCCTTTTCTGCATTTATCCTACAATGCACACATCTCCTTCCTTTCCCAAATGTTTATTTATAGAGAAGAATGTTATTATTATCCTCCATTTATGCCTGAGAAACTTAAGGCTCTCTGTAAGGTTAAGCCACTTGTCGAAGGTCACAGAGGTAGTAAGCAATGAAGCCAAGACATGACCCAAGTTCATTCTAATTCCATAATATGTGTCCTTAATCACTGCGCTATACTGCCTTAGGAATTATAGTGGGAATTCAAGAATTGCTAGCCAAATACCATTTATAAAAGTCTCCATTTGTAAACAAGAGAACTACAATTAATATTTTCCTCCAGAAAGAGGCAGTCTTCTCTGGAATTTGAACTGAAGACATAAAGGTTAAATTTTATACATCAGATCTTATTTTATTTTCTACAGGCCCACCAAGAATGCAAATACATCAGATTTTAAACCAAAAATGTACTAGATAATCCCAGATACATACAGGTAAAGTTACATAAAAGAACATAAAAAGCTAAAGAGAACACCTTGAAGAACCTGTGGGAGTGAATATATTTAACAGATTCTCCTTTTCCAGCTTCCTTTGGGAGCAAAGTGCCCACAACTGGGCTTTTGGGACATGCTTCTGTCCTAGAACGGGACACAGAGGTGTTAAAGAGTGAAGCAATTTCTATTGATCCTAGAGACCTGCAGGAGAACGTGAGGAGAAGTCTGCATATTGTGTTTATAAAATAATATTCCCAAATGAAACAAATGAAAATTGATTCCCAAGAAAATGCAGATGATAAGAATGCAAATAAATGTTCATTATGAAGACTCCATGACTTTTTGTCTGTCCTCTATAGTCTTTGTTTATCCATTACTAAAATTGCATTTGGGCACAGTATTTTATCAAAAAGCTCATGCAAACATTTTTGTACAAGTCCTTTAACATCTAGTGGTTCCCCCCAAAACTTTGATGTCCTGAAAAATCTAATTATTACTGGTAACTTTAAAAGATCACAGTAATTTATTTTTGTCAAATGTGACTAAAGATTAATGGATACAATCAGGAATAATTTGGTAAAAACATATCAAATGCAGAGAAAGCAAAATTTGTTGTTAAGTGAAGCATCAAATATGATAAAAGAGCAAATTCCATGAATGAACAGCAACAATGCACAATTCATTAACCAAATGCCCATGATTATTTCACACTTCAGAGGGCCACTGATATGATCAGGAATTGTAGTAAAAGGATAAATATAGATTACCTTCAGCCATCTCTTTATAAATTTTAATTATAAATGCTACTCCCAGAGGGCTACCAGCATAATAAGAGAAATACAAGCTAAAGTTTGCCCATCCTTTTTATAAATCATAATTCCACATATATAAAATAAGACAGGCAATTATTTTAAGACCACAATTAATATGCCAAGATATATTAAAAATACATCGTTTTCTTAGCTACTGTTAACTGTAAAAATTAAAAACCTGATCAACTTTCAGGCTCTGGAAACTCTTAACTATTCAAAATTGTCATCCTTATCATCACCACCACAACTATCATCACCCACAATCATCTGCTAATATACTAGCTAATACCTTGATCACTACAGAATGCCCTTCACTGCCAGAAGAAAAAGTTTATTTGTTCAATAAATAGTAATAAACTGCTAAGTTGTTCCTTGAAATCAAGGCCACATCTTACTAGTCTTACTATTCTCAGAGCTGGTTCAGAACTTGATTGACAAATAGCATTGTTTTAAATAGAAAAAAAAAAAACCACCCAAAAACAACCTAAAGAATAATTAATAAGAACATCATTGCAATGAGTTTTTCCATAAAGTTATTAAATGAAAATAAATAAAATGGAATTTTCCCATTAAAAATCATGAATACTATATAAATGTAAAGATTGATATAAACACACTACTATTTGAAAGAAACACACTGCAAAAAAGAAATACAATCTTGTCTATTTTTTTAAAAACTATAAATATACAAAGTGCACAAAGGCAAATATAGTAAGACTTTTCAGAAGGTGAAAAAGAATAAAAGTCACTTAGTGATTGCCTTATTATTACTGCACTTGAAGTCTTGCAATCTGACCTTTAACTCTTCCAGGGAAGCCTGGCTTTGTAACTTCATGACCCCTTATCAGCTCCAGGCCTACATTTCAACAATTTCCTCTGTTTTCATAGAATCTTGTCTCATTTTTTCTTTTCATCATTGATATCCACTCAGTTCTCAACTCCAGATTCTATGTGACTTTCTATTTTCTGTACCTCTACTCTCAGTAATACTGGACACACAAACACACACATATATACACACATAAATGTCTCATGTGGATAATAAATTAAAATTTTCTAACAGCAAAGAAACCCCTATTTTCCTGTCACATTCTCTGCAATGACATCCCTTACTCCCACCCATAAGTAGAACATCTCACCTCGTATTTGTTTAAGAGTAGCTCTTCATACTCACACAAACTCTTTATGTCTTAGAATTTACCCTTTGTTTCTATCCCTGAGAAACAAGTCTCTTACCTTCCTGCTAAAACCAAGATACATCTCTGATATCTCTTTCCTTGTATTTTCACAAGACCTTGTTCCTTATGTTTGCCTTCTACTATTAGGTTGGTACATGACATTTAAAAGTAATGACAACCTAATACTTGCATATTAAGGTTCTTCTCCCCTAGCACTGACTTTTCTCCCCTGAGTCTACAGAAATATTCAGATTACTCTTATCTTTATAAAAAGAAAAAAGGAAAAAAATCCGTGAAACATACTGTCTCCCTTCTTTATATCCTACCACACCATCAAGTTACCTCCTTTCTATTTTCTTTTTCTCCACATCTCTTGAAAGCCTATGCTTATGACTGTTCCTTCAGTATCGTGTATCCATTCCCCATCACCAAACCTAAGGCAGTATCTCCAAGTGATCTATTCAATAAAGCCCAAAGGCTTTCCCCTAGCATACCAGACCCAGCCCTGCCTTTCCACTCTTCTCTCATGTGTTCTCTCATATATAGCCTCAATGCTCCAAATTACAACACATGCTGTCTCCCACATACACTGATTCCACGCTGTTCCTCCTGCACATTTTCTCAGACTGGAACACTTTGAGCAAGCAATGTTTGCCTATTAAAATGTTACCTATGCCAAACAGCATAAGTAAAGTTTCCCACTCCTGACCATTCTATGTAGATATGACTACCCTCATGTTTCAGTGTCCGTAATGGCCCTGAGCCTTTTAAAAGGCTCACATATTCTCTATCATGTAATGTGGTCTGTGCAAACAAGCACTATAGAACTGTGGGCACACTAACGGTACCAACTCTATCATCTTTGTATGCTCATTGTAGCACCTTGCATATCGCCATGCAGACAGCAGGCACTCAGCATATATTTGTAAAACTAAAATAAAAAGAATGGCTACATATTTTAGTGCATAGCATGAAAATGCCTGCAGATACCAAGAAATACACTTTCCTGAATCCTACTGGGGAAATGATCCTCTTTGATATACAAAATTATCACCTAGTAAATTCTAATTTCTTGGAGGGGTAGTTCCAAACAAGACCTCCCATTATGTTGGGAATGTGTCCCCTCTTTCCACCTTCTTTCCCAGGCCTTCAAGGGGAAAAAAGCTGAATTCAAATTATCTATTCTCAAAAACTATTCTCAAACTGTTCTTCCTTTAGGCCTTAGTGTATCAAGGTTAATCTGGCTCAAATTATATTTCATGGTTGGAGACAGAAAATTTTATGAAAATTGGGGTCAACTTTGTAACAGAGTAGACTTCCTGTGCCTGTATTTTGAACTTGCCATTATTTAGCATTGACAAAAACAACTTAGGCTGTGAGGTCTGCATGGACCAAAACCTGAGTGTGGATCCTGTGAAATCAGTCATCTAGGGTACTTTTGTGTGTGTGTGTGTAGACCTCATTAAATTCATTTCATTTCCATAAGAGTAGATTCTGCCAGGTACATAAAGTAACTAAATCAAGAGTGGCTGCAGTAGTAATTTAATTGATCTGAGAAGAATTATTCCATCTAATAAATCATTCCCATTCAGTGTTAAAATATAATAAATATTGAACTTTATATAGCAACCAAAATATTCCACAGTCAAAATTCCTTGCAGCAGTATCCTACCCAATTCGAGACATCTGAGGATACCACAGTGGAGTCCTTCTCCAAGACAATTGGTTCTGAAAGTCTTTTACATTCATGTTAGTAATAGTAGCTATAATACTATCTATAATTTACTGAGCTGCTACTTTGTGTGACAAGCACCGTTCTAAGTCTCTTCATGATTAACATGTAACTCTCACAACAATCATTCAGAGAAGGTATTTTTTCCTCATTTGAAAGACAAGGAACCTTAGACAAATTAAGTGCTTTGCCCCCCGTCCACCAACACATACACATCTGTTAAAGAAGTTAAGCCAGGATAAGTACCCAGATTTCCCTGACTCCAAATTCCACGCTAATACCCACAGCCAAAACAAACATAGTATTTTATTAAACACAACATATCCAAGAGCATTGGTGTTCTATACTAAAATTTCTTTCATTACATGTCTCGTTTCCATTTTCATCATGCCTTTCCACTAATAGACAGAATGACTGAGACAGAACTATAGATTAGTGATATTTTCCATTATTTATTCGCATGAACTAAAGTTTCGCAAACTGCAGTCCATATTTCACTGAAGAGATGATTTTAAGAGATACATGAACAAAGATAATTATTTTAATAAATTACTTCAGCTTAATAAATTTTTCTACCATTGACTGATATGTGATTTCAAGTGATATAAAAATGTTTTTATTTTATATAAATATAAATATGTGCTTTAAAAAAAACCAGAACAAATTAATAAACTCATAAAATATAAACTCATAAAATATAGTTTTCTTTTTAAACAAATTCATTGAAGTGAAATGAGTTATATTTCATTTTAAAGTTGTGCAGTGCCTATATTTCAAAAACTGTGAAGGTGCTTCATTAAGGATGGAAAATCTGGAAACAAGAGAGAAATGTGTCCTCACTACTATAGACTGCATATTGTGTATTTACTGGGAGAAAGGATGAAGTGTTATCCACATCAAGACTTACCTCTGAGCTGAACAATGGGAACACATGGACACATGGAGGGGAACAACACACACTGGGGCCTTTGGGGTGGGGCAGGGGGAGGGAGAGCATCAGGATAAATAGCTAATGCATGCTGAGCTTGTACCTAGGTGATGGGTTGATAGGTGCAGCAAACCACCATGGCACACACTTACCTATGTAACAAACCTGCACATCCTGCACATGTACCCCAGAACTTAAAATTAAAATAAAAAAAAAAAAGACTTACCTCTGGTGACAGCATCTAGCGCACAGCCACTTCCTGTTGCTCCTCCTCCAATAACAAGGATATCAAATTCAGATGTGTTTTGCAAAGTCAGTAGCTGAGCTTCTCTGGAAGGAGGCTCCCTGTTAACTGGTTCTGAAATGCAGTCTGCTGCTTTAACATAGGCCAGGTTCATCTGATGTAAAAGCAGATCACTTTCAGTTGTCCATTTGGAATGTCAATTTAACAAATTTTACAATATACTAAAAGGAAATTTCTAATAGAAATAAGGAATATAAGAGCTAAAGAGAGTCCACAGTCCACATAGAGTTATAGGACCAACTGCCTTGGGGGAAAACAATCCTTACATTTCTCGGTGTATTTCTTTTCATGAATCACAACTATTTAGCCATAGGACACCTGGTTTCAGATTCAATGTCTCAACTGCTTCATATACAGCCAAGTTCAATTATTCACAACACTGTATAGCAATTCCCAAATACCTTATCTAAGGCAATTTATAAGGGAACATAAGGAGATTTTTTTACCCAGTACTAGCAATTCATTCAGATGACATATTAAAGTGGTGAAGGAGGAGGAAAAAGGACTTCATGTCTTTCCACACTTTCTCAGAAGTATACATTCTTCATTCCTCAGTTCTCCTGACAAAACTATATTCTAGAGTTTGGGGGTACATAAGTTAAAGTCAGTACAATTAAAAAGAATTTATTTAACAGAAGGTACTAAATAATGAGCTATGTTTAATGAGAATTATATTTTTCAGAAAAATTTAGTCAAAGACTTCCATACTAAATATTTTAATATAAAACCATAGATTCTATACATTGAAAGTAATATAAATATACCATTACAGTTTGTTGGATTTTTTTGATATGGGGCTTCATTCTGTTGCCCAGCCTGGGGTGCGGTGGCACTATCACAGCTTACTGCAACCTCATCCTCCCCACGTTCAGGTGAATCTGCCACCTCAGCCTACAGAGTAGCTGGGACTACAGGTGTGCGCCACCAAGCCTGGCTGATTTTCGTATTTTTTGAAGAGATGGGGTTTCACCATGTTGCCCAGCGTGGTCTCGAACTCCTAGAATCAATCAAGCAATCCATCTGCCTCGGCCTTCCAAACTGCTGAGATTACAGGCATGAGCCACTGCACCCAGCCCATTATTACAGTTTTTATGAAACTTCAACAATAATATAATTAAAGGCCCTGACATAGTCCTCCTAAAAAATAATGACCTTCCATATTTCTAGTTTCTTAAAGAATGTAGCTTTTCATCCTAAATAAAAAATGATCCTGGACTTTAAAAATAAGTAGTTGCCAGAAGGCAGAGTCAGAAACCCAGGAAAATGGTGTTTGGTTTTTTTCCAAAATGCTAATACTAGGTTTGTTCACTATAGCAAACAGTACTGGCCAGCATTGCTCTATTAGTATTCCACAGATATGTGACTTCCATTTTCTTTTCTTCAAATCACAGCATCATTGCAATCCATGATGGTGGTGTTTTTCCCATTCTGCTGCAGGAGCCCCATTTGAAGCTCTAGGCCAACAGGCCAAAGCATGTGCAAGAGGAGGTAATCTCAGGCGTTACCAAGAGATTATCCTAATCACCCAAAATAAGTGATTTTTTAAATTCATTCAAATAAAGGAAACCCACTTACCCCCTGCAGTTGCATTTAATTATTATCAGGCCAATTGGATTTCTATGAAAGTAAATCTAGAAGCCATTGGGTAAACTGAAAGAAACCCACATTAGGATCAGAAGATCCCAGCCTGGGATTTAGCACCTGGTTACCAGCAATGTAACTGTTGACTCATTATCTCTGGTTTCTTCACTTGTAAAATGGTGACAAAAATCCCTGTGATTTCTCCTTGTATCTTTGGATTATCCTCAGTCTGAATGGAATAATAATCTGAAAGTCACTGGTAAATGACAAAGTAACCACCAGAGTTGTTGCTGTTATCACTCTGTTAAATAATTTGATCTTTTAGTCACATATGATTAGGAACTTTCAAAACATGTTTTACTAAATTTCATAAAAACAAAAACTTATTATCAGGCTACAAATTCTGACACCAAACCACAAAAATCTTATTTTTCATATAGCTTCTTTTAATTATCTGCTAATAACCATGTCCCTATTTTTTACCTTTATATACATTTAGTTTGTTAACTAAATAAATGTAACCAGTAGGTACTACAGAGAACATTAACATATTTCAATTATGGTCTTTGCCTTCCATCTAATGAGGAAAAAAATTATACACACACACACACACACACACACACACACACATACATATATATAACAAGTACATAGAAAGAATAAATGCCACCCTAGAGGGAAAAAAACACCAGGCTATGGCCATTCAGATGAGGGAGGGAGAGTCTTTCATTTGAGGGTTTCAATTGCGCCAGGACAGATGGGTAGGACTTGGACATGAGACTGACAAGTGACTAAACCGCCAGAGCATTTTCACACATCAGAAAGATTGCTGACATTTTCTGCTTGGTAAGTTTTCGAGAAATACTTGAGAAATAAGTTTAAAGACCATATTATGATATAGTTCATTAGAACTTGGTAATACTAAAAGTCCTCTATTCTACTCTAACTGTGAACATTAATCTTGACTGAGTTTTCCCTTCATCAAGTTTGCTGGATCTGAAAGGCATCACTAGTGTGTGAGGATCTCATTCCATTAACAACAGTTTCTCCTATATTCACTCCCTCCCTTGTCCTTCTCATCACCAAGCTCTAACCTATCTCAGTCTCAACAATAATAAACACCTCTTACATGTATCTCTAACAACTATCCTAAAAATTCCCGATAGACCTGTAAATCTTGTTTTTTTTCTACTGCCTCACTCCTTACTCCTCACACTCACCCTAATTTGAATTTTCACATACATCCAACCACTACCAACAACCACAAAACTGACTAAATGCCAACTATGCCACCAAATCCAATAAATGCACAAATGATTGTTCACTCACCTGGGCATCTGGGGGACAACTCTCTCTCTCTCCAGCCTCTTTGAACCACTCTCTCTTAGCTTCCTTTGTGAGTCACTCTACTGCCCAAAATTAAACACCAAATTTCCTCTTAGGTCTATCCAATTCACTCTCCTCAAATCACTAAACTCAACAGACAGTAAGAGAGAGAGAGAAAATCTTATGTACCCCATATCATCAAATATCCTTTATACCACAATAATTTCTAATTTTGTTCCACCATTCAGGAACCCAGATCTCACACTGCCTACTTGAGACCTCCATTTGGATGTCTTACATATATCTCAAAATTGACCCAATTACTTTATCTTCTCAAACCTTTTTCTCTGTCAATGTTCCTCATCTCAGTAAGGGTGTCATTATAAATGTAGTTGCTGGTGCCAGAAATGTGGAAACAACCTTGAGAGCTCCCCGTCTCTTAAGTCCTATATCTGCTCAATCACTGAGTTTATCAGTTCCATCTTCTAAAACATTTCCATATCTAGTCACTTCATCTCCACTGCTACCTCTCAAATCAAGGTATCTTCCCTCTCCCCTATACTAACATGATATTCTCCCAAAGGCCTTCACACATTTACCCAGCCTCCTTCCATATCATTTTCTATATTACAACCGGAGTGATCATTTAAAAACCCAAATAATGTCATTTCCATGTATAAAACCCTTCAAGAGCTTCCAACTGAATATAGCTTTATTCAGGTTTCCAAGAATCTTCATGGTCTTTTACAATGGTTAAAATTTAAAAAAAAGAAAAAAAAAAAAAAAGGCCAGGTGCAGTGGCTCACTCCCAGCACTTTGGGAGACCAAAGCAGGAGGATCACCTGAGGTCAGGAGTTCAAGATCAGCCTGGCCAATGTGTCAAAACCCATCTCTACTAAAAATACAAAAATTAGCCGGGCATGGTGGCACACGCCTATAGTTCCAGCTACTCAGGAGGCTGAGATAGGAGAATCTCTTGAATCCAGGAGAAGGAGGCTGCAGTGAGCCGAGATCACACCACTGCACTCCAGCCTAGGTGACAGAGGATATTCTGTCTCAAAAAAAAAAAAAAAAAAAAAAAAAGGTAGGGAGGGAATACCAAGTGGTGGTGAGAATGCAACACAATTGAAACTCTCTTACACTGCTTACAGAAATGCAAAATTATACAGCTATTTTGGAAAACAGTTTGGGAGTGTCTTTTTTTTTTTTTTTAGATGGAGTCTCACTCTGTCACTCAGGCTGGAGTGCAGTGGCACAATCTCGGCTCACTCCAACCTCTGTCACCCGGGTTCAAGCGATTCTCCTGCCTCAGCCTCCTGAGTAGCTGGGATTACAGGTGCCTGCCACCACGCCTGGCTAATTTTTATAGTTTTAGTAGTGACAGGTTTCACTATCTTGGCCAGGCTGGTCTTGAACTCCTGCCCTCGTGATCCACCAGCCTCGGGCTCCCAAAGTGCTGGGATTACAGGTGTGAGCCACCGTGCCTGGCCAGGAGTGTCTTATAAAGGTAAACACACACTACACAACCAAGCAATCCCTCTCCTGGATAGTTACCCAAAAGAAATGAAAATCTGTGTTCATACAGAAGCCTGTAGGCAAAAATTTACAATGGCTTTATTCATAATCGTCCTCAACTGGAAAAAAAAACTAAAACATCCTTTACCTGGTGAATGACTAAACAAACTGTGTAAGCAATGGAATAATAAACGGAAATAAAAGAGAACAAGCTACTGCTACACACAGCAACACGAATGAACTTCAAATGCAATATGCTAAATCAGGGGTCAGCAAATTATGGTCTTCAGCCCAAATCTGGCTGCTCCCTGTTGTTGTAAACAAAGTTTCACTGGAAGATAGCCACATCCAATCATTTATGTGTTGTCCATGACTATAATAGCAGAGCTGAATAGTTGCATCAGAGACTATATGGACTGCAAGCCTTAAACATTTACTCTCTGCCTCTTTACAGAAAAGTCTACTAATCCCTGTACTAAGCAAAAGAAGCCAGATTCAGAAGTCTACATACTACATGATTCCAGTGCTTCTGTTTATATCATGTTCTGTACAAGCAAAGCACAGAATCTGAAAACAGATCAGTGGTTGCCAGGGTCTGGGAATGGGGGTACAAGGACTGACTACAAAGGGCATGAAAGAATGGTGAGGCTGATAGGAATGTTCTACAGCTTGATCACAGTGCTCATTACATAACTGTATCAAAACTCATAGAATTGTAAATTATAAAGGGTAAATTTTATAAACTTATCAAAACTCATAGAATTGTAAATTATAAAGGGTAAATTTTACTGCACTTTATACTACAAATTATACCTCAATACACTTGACTTAACAAAAAATAAGTGAATTATGTAAAGAGCATTTATGTGCCAGACATTATTTTAAGGGTTTTGCTTTTTTTCTACTCATTTAATCCTCACAATAACTTTATGAGTTAGGTACTACTAAGATCTTCATTTTACAGAACTATCTGAGACATACAGAAGTTAAGCAATTGGTCCCTAAGTACACAGCGGGTTCATGGTAGAGCTGAAAACTGAACTTAGCCTGGCAACAGAGACTAGGTGTTACACTACTATACCACTCTGACACCACACATAATTTGAGAAAAAAATTTAAAAAGTAGACTGACTAGTTATAATAGAGTGAGATATGACCAGCTGCCAAATCTAGAAAGTAGTTTGTTTGGTATAGTTTTGTTTTGAAGGTTTTACTGAACAGTCCCTCCAAAATATTTTTTTAAAACATACAGCACTATTAAGGGTAATTTATTTACTTTCTGACACTACTTTTTAAAATAACATTTTATTTTTGTTTTTTTTTTTTTTCCATAAAAGCTGGGAAGTGTTGCAACTGAGAAGCTAAGTACCACGTTTATTTTAGAGGCAGTAAACACAGCCTAAGGCCCTACTTATAATTATGACAGGAAAAAGACTCATTTTGGCTTCATATGGTTTTGAGTCACAAAAACACATCTGCACTCTACCTTTCCTAGAATATGTTGATTGAGGGGAAATAAAAAGGAGAAAAGCAGCAAGAATAAAACAGGTAACAACACACTTTAAGACAAGAGGGCTTTGGGTTCCAAATCTTCCTAGACCTGCCCTCCCTTTGTTCACCCTCCTTTCTAAGGCAGTTTGATTACACAGGAATTTGGGATACAGATTTTATTGAAGGATTGATCTGGAGGTTCTAGGAGAAGCCTTGGAATGGCCATAGGCCCTATATTAACTGGGAGACCGAAACCCTGCGTCAGGGAGAGGGGGTAGTGGGAGGGAAGAAAGGAGGGGAGGGGAGAGAAGGAAGGAGGGTAGTGAAGGAAGGAGGGGAGGGGAGGGGAAGGAAGGAAGGAAGGGAGGGAAGAAGGAAGGGAGGGGAGGGGAGGAAACAGGAAAGAGGGAAGAGGGAGGGGAGGAAGGAAGGGGAGCGGAGGGGAGAGGAGGGAAGGGACGAAGAGAAGGGAGCGAGGGAGGGAGGGAGGGAGGGAGGGAGGAAGGAAGGAAGGAAGGAAGGAAGGAAGGAAGGAAGAAGGAAGGAAAAAACTCTATGTCCTGAGGAAACCCTGGGCCCACCATCATTTATTCATCAAACTTATTCATCCAATCAGTATTTTGTGGAGGCCTTCAAGGATTCTATAGCCCAGGGAACAAAACAAAAAGATAAAGAAGCAATTATAACATTGTTTAAAAGTGGATATAGGCATAGAAAAGAGGCTACAAGAGCCACAGGAGGCACCTCTTATACAGACCCAAGAAGGCTTCTTGGAACATGCAGCTAAATCAAGTAGAGAAAAAGTAATAGGCATTAGCTGGGTGACAAAAACCAGGAAAGGAAGTGGGAAGAGCATGTGTTAAAACTAGAAGTCGCACTAGAATGTTTTCTCTGCTTAGCACACTACTTTCTTAAAAACCAAATCATACATCCAATATTTTTAAATTGCTATATTTCACATCTAAATCAGAATTTCTATCTGAGATAAATCTGCTAAAACTGAGTAGCAGCTGCCATCCTTAGGCAAGGCTTGTGCACTCTTGTTAGTCCAGGATTCCTGCTCACTGGCTTCACACTTGTACCTCATCACTCTATCCCCTGTAGACACATGAGTTCACCAACCTTGGCTTAAAGACAGGAACAACTGCAGCTCTATCAAATTCAGGATCAATTCCCTAATTCAGCCATTGAAGCCAGAAAAGAGGAGAGCCCAACACACAAAACAAACTGCCTTTTTCCTAGCATAATTCCAACCACAGCTCCCAAACACAAAATTTTTATCTTGGTGGAATTGGGAGAATATCTAATATGTAATAATACTTTGATGTTATTTCTATTATATTTAATTATGGGAGAAGTAGATTTTTTTCAACTTGTTTACCAATTTTCATCTATATTTTAGAAAGATAAAATTCCTTCAGCATTCTGATAGCAAACATACAGGTTTTGTCAAGAGACTCACATGAACACCTACAAAGAACTGAAAGCCAAGTTCACAATCTTTGATAGTTTACATCCCAGAGAACGTTCACCCTGAACAGGATTCAGAATGAGATCAGTTTTACTATGTCTGTATATCATTAGACTTGCAAATTAAAAAAAAAAAAATCCTAGACATTTACAACTTCGGGTGAGACCAAAAACAAGATCTAATAATTAGTGTCTATTTCTGAAAGAAGTGCATATTTAAAGACCACAGGCAATTAACAACCAGGTTGTCCTGTAATCATGTACAGTAATAATTGGAGTATAAAGTAGGGTCTCATGCAAATCACCTCAGACTGCAACCGTCACTCTCTCCCATAATATATGAGTCGATCGATGGAATCGTAAGATTTAAGGGAAACTGCTTCCTGCTTTTTGTCACTAAAAAAGACTAACCATATTTATATATTCCTAAAAGGAAAATCCAACAAGCATCTCCTCACAGTGAATCTTAAGATGTTTTAAAGGCCTTTATTCACTTCCTGAATCACTTTGTGATTCTAAAAACTGACATTTTTTTTCCTGCACTTACATGAGAGTAAGCAACATTTCTCAGTGTAAACATATTCGGTGAGGGATTCATGATCACTCTGTAGATAGAGTTGCCAATGGTTACACTGTCATCTCCACTGGGGTCCACACAAAAGAAAAAAAAAGGAGCCCATCCTTCTGGGGTAGCTGAGAATGAAGGTCTAGTTCCCCTTGAAGGTACTGTCCAGATTTTAAGTGACTGTGATTCCTTTGAGAAATCACACAGAAGTTCTTTTAATAGCAATTAGAAAATATCCAAACACTTAAATTATCAAACTTTTTATAGCTAAAAATTGAGGAAAACCCCTTGGCTCTGTCTGAATATATGTACTTCAAATAAGTTAACAACGTAATTGACTATATGAGCTGAGATTTGGGAGATAGGTTTTCAAATATTTTTAAAACAGAATATATGCTTGCTTTTCAACTCTGATGGCTCACTGAAAGTCAGAGAACCTGGAGAGTAAGTCTGAGGTTGGGGTAGATAGAGAAGGAAGAAGAAATAGAACCATTAGTTGCCTAGAAGCTGCCAGCTCACACCCCTAACATTAGCTCCTTAGGTGTCACTCACACTTTCCATAGAAAGGAGGAATCTTTTGACCAGTGAGGAAATCTTTAGTTATCCCTTGAGCAAGTAATTCGAAGAATCAAAATTTGATCCCAGGTTTGACTCCAAATCTCATGTCCTCAGCTCTGCTAGGTCATCTTTGCCTATATGTATAGGTCACTTGGGCCTCTAGATCTGCCTGCCTTTCTGGCATCAGCAGTGCAGAACTGTTGATGGCAGTTAGTGAGATCAGAAGTCCTAGGGCATCTGCCTCACCTAAAGCCAACCACATTGGGCAGTTAAGTTGTCACACAGAATTCTATGAAATAGCACTTTTTTTTTTTAAATTTGAGACAGAGTCTCACCATGTTGCCCAGGCTGGAGTGCAGTGGCATGACCTTAGCTCCAAAGCACAACTTCCACCTCCTGGGTTTGTGCGATTCTCCTGCCTTAGCCTCCCCAGTAGCTGGGATTACAGGCGCCCCCCGCCACCACACCTGGCTAATTTTTGTATTTTTAGTAGAGGTGGGGTTTTGCCACATTGGTCAAGCTGGCCTCAAGCTCCTGACCGCAGGTGATCTGCCCGCCTTGGCATCCTAAAGTGCTGGGATTACAGGCATGAGCCAATGCACCCAGCCAGCACTTTTTCTTAATAAACTCCCTAAAGCATCTGGAAGTAGATCCAGAAGTTAAAGAGGGCTCACTCTTTCCCCATCCCTCTCAGGTGAATAAAATGATGCCCAACTGAGCCAACCAGCCGGTTCCAAGCTTTATAATCTAGATGGCCTTCAGCTACACTTTAACCTATGTTCAAAAATACATTTTGGCCAAATTTATAATGCATACTCATCATTTCTCTGTGAATTATTTCATCAAATATAAATATGATTTTTCTAGTTGGTACTCACTATTGTACAATTAGTTTACAGAAATTCTTTGTTGAAATCACAAATTACAAAACAAATAAAGCAAAATTGGAATCGCCTAACTTCTATTTAAATCATCTATTTCTAAAACTACCTAGAAGATGCTTTCCTAGCATAAACATAATTTAACTATTAAGCTGAAGGATGGGGAATGGGGAGAGGGAAGCTAAAGGACTCTCCCCAAAGCATTTATAGAAAGTTTCCTCCGTCTACAACATCCCTAAAAAGTTTTTAAAGAGGCCTTAAAATGAATAGATAGTTGAAAATGAAATGCAAAGTCAAATCAAAATGAATGTCAATGTTGCTCAGTTAGCAACAGCCTAGCAGCTCACCAGCTGTCAACGTTAATCATAGCTCAGTCGTTGACTCACTGAGTGACCTATAGAAGTACAGTTAACCTCACTGATTTTGTATGCCAGCAACAAAATAGCATCACAAACTCCTCGAAGGCCTGATGTGAGTTATAACTCAAAGATATTGCCATGGCCCCACTTTGGGGGCTAAGTGTTAAATAAAAACCAAAATTATAAGGAAGATGATAGGATGCTCTTCAGAGAACATTTCCAGCTCTGTCTGCATAATTTTAGTGCTTTGATGAAACATGTCTCTGAAAAAACAGTTAACCATATAGAGTAGTTAAGAATAGTTTCAACTGGCCTTATCTAAAATACAGATTATTCAGAATCCTCATCAAGCTTTAGATATCAGACACATTCCCACAAATTTAGTTATATTTCTAAGAGAAAAACAGTTCTTCCAGGAATCCATGCAAAGGGTTCTAAATAAGAGAGGCAAATGAATGATACAGTCTTTGGCATAACCCTAACAATAAAATTCTCATCAAAAGAAATATAGCTCATTTGTCCACCAGATTAGAAACTAAATTCAAGACACATATGTAATGGCTAAATGCTTAACAAAACTTTTTCTTTTCTTCCAGAGAACACTCCCATACAGTGGAGTAGAAATGATCCAGTAGGGTGAGACCCCTATAGCATGGCAGACCCACTAGAATAAAGAGACATAGGTTCCTGGGTAATTGCAGGAAATAGGTTCCCCACCTATCCACACTGAACTGTAATGTGAGCAACAAATAAACGTGCATTATGATAAGCCACTGAGCTTTGAGGATTGGTTATTATACCAATTAGCTTACTTCAATTAATACACAAGTTTGACATGTGCTTAGTTTTACAACCCAAGATTTACAACTCGCCTACATTGCATACAGTCCATACACAATAGAGAATGGACTATGAATGGATGAGGCATGATCATTTACAAAAATAAAAATTAGGAAATAAATCCATACAGACAACACCTCAGAAGGACAGATCATCAAATGCAAGCCCTAGAAAGCCATGGTGCAGAGACATTTCTACCTTCACATTTGACATAACGCTGATGGCTCTTTAAGCAAAACAGGTAGCTTATGACTCAACCATGAGTTCCTTCTTCCACCATCAGAAATGGCCATTTTATTTGATTTTAACATTTAGGTGGGAACTACAGTGTTAGATATCCTATGCAGAATGTATTCACAACAGCCAAGATATGGAAACAACCTAAACAGATGGATGAATAAAGAAATGTAGTATAAACATAAAATGGTATATTATTCAGCCTTAAAGAAGAAGAAGGAAGTCCTGACATTGCTGACAACATGGATAGCCCTGGAGGACATTATGCTAAGTGAAATAAGCCAGACACTGAAAGACAAATACTGTATGATCTCACTTATACATGAGAGTTAAAATAGTCGAACTCATAGAAGCAGAGAGTAAAATAGTGGTAAGCAGAGGGTGGGTGAGCAGATGTTGAACAAGGGGTACAGAGTTTCAGTTATGCTCAAGGAAAGAATTGGGTTTTGTTTTTGTTTGTTTATTTGTTTGTTTTGAGATGCAGTCTCACTGTGTTGCCCAGGCTGGAGTGCAGTGGTGCGATCTCGGCTCACTACAACCTCCACCTCCCAGGTTCAAGCAATTCTCCTGTCTCAGCCTCCTGAGTAGCTGGGATTATAGGCATCCACCACCATGCCCGGCTAATTTTTGTATTTTTAGTAGAGATGGGGCTTTGCCATGTTGGCCAAGCTGGTCTCGAACTTCTGACTTCAGGTGATCCACCTGCCTCAGCCTCCCAAAGTGCTGGGATTACAGGCATGAGCCACCTCAACTGGCCATCAAGGAAAGAATTTTTAAAAAGCAACATTATTCTGCCATCAACAGGTACAGGAAAAAAAACAAAGACTATTTAGGAACATTCGTTTTTATAGCATTTCCTAAGGTTTTTTTTAAAGAGAAAGATTGGGACTGGGCTCACGCCTGTAATCCCGGCTCTTTGGGAGGCCGAGGCGGGCGGATCACCCTAGGTCAGGCGTTCAAGACCAGCCTGGCCAACATGGCGAAACCCCATCTCTACTAAAAAATACAAAAATTAGCCGGCCGTGGTGGCAGGCGACTGTAATCCCAGCTAGTTGGGGGGCTGAGGCAAGAAGAATTGCTTGAACCCGGGAGGCAGAGGTTGCAGTGAGCCGAGATCCCGCCACTGCACTCCAGCCTGGGTGACACAGTGAGACACTGTCTCAAAAAAAAAGTCGGGGAGGGGAGTGGAAAGATTGCTTACAAACCTGTGCAAAATGCCTCTGCAGATAGAATATTGTTTACTCTGGGAGAACAAGAAAGTCTAGTAGCCTGAATTGACTTACAAAGTTAAAAGCAATCTGGTAAAAAAAAAAAAAAAAAAAAAAAAGCAAGCAAGCAAATAAATGTGTCATGTGATAGTTTCAGCTACAGCTACATCAACGTTCAGGAAGAGTTACACTGATTTCAAACCCACAGATCCTCCTTAGTTCAAGAACCTGAAGAATGTTTCTAATTGAGGTTAAATGATCGAAAATGTTAAGGGTGTTCAAAAGATAAACAAATTGTTATATTCAAACAAAGAAACTGCTGAAAAGCAATGCTAAGGTGGAATGTTTGTAATTTAAATTGTTTCTTTATTTTCTTTTTTTCCTGCAGATGCCACAAGATTAAATTGTTTCCTAACTGACATCATATCTTAGATACTATGCTTATGATTTTGATTTCTCTTCAACAAATACTCATTTGAACTTCAAGTTTCTCTACCCTCTACCAGTTTATCTGTTTAGTCATCAATATAAGCAAAAGTGTGCCAACCAAAAGTTCAGCTATTTTTTTTTAAACTCTGATGTTATATCTTTCTTATTATGCCTGACAAGGCTAGGTCTATTTCAAATGTTCATATCCTACCTCAGGGGAAGGGAAAGAAGTAAAGCAGATACTGAAGACCTGCTATGTGCCAGGTACTGTGATCACTGATTTGTATGTATTGACTTAGTGCTTGGCAGAGAAAAAAGCCTGTAAGTAAAGTTACATTATCTTTATTTTATGAAGAAATTGGAATTCTGAAATTTTTTATAACCTACACACGCTACAACAGGTTCACCAAAACCCAGCCACATTCACATAACAGACACATTCAGGAAGCTAAATGTTGCTTTATTTGGGGTCTATTCAAATAAATCCTAAATTAGATCTTATTTTGACTAGAGTTGATCATTCTTTTTTGTTATTTTTGTTTTTTGTTTTTTTTTTGTTTTTTGCTTCTTGTCCAATCTTATCTTTTGCTACTGCCTTTAAAACTTTTGAGTCATTGGTACTACTAATCAAAAAGCACTACTTCGTTAGAGCTCTTACAAATAAGGTATGGAGAGGGAGAGATTGCAATTACAAGTTAAAACAACGTTCTCAAAATTCCTGCTGATTTTAATTATCCATGCATCACTTTGCCTCTCATTAGCATAAATATTTTTCCTCCTGGGTTTTGCTGACACTAACAAAGGTAGTATAGGCTTACCTGTATTTCAACTCACCTAACACATCACTGTTATCAGGGTTTTTTTTCATATTCCCTTAATTAACACATATAACAGAGTGAACTATAGTATTTCCTAAGCCACTCACAAGCATAGAGAATTGATGTCTCTTACAAAGTGAGAGGCTATTTTGCAAATCATGAAGATCCTGTCATCAACACCTATTATAATATCAACATGCTCGAACATCACTGACTTTGGGAAAGAAGAAATTAGTTTAATTGCATTCCATTTCAAGCTACAATGATATATGAAAATTCAGATTTATCCCCCCCAAAAAAAGTTAGAGCTTTTTTCCCTAATATTGCCTGTTTTTAAAGAATGTTTCACCACAGAATTCCAATAAATGGCACTGATATTAATTTATCAAAGGAACTATATTCTTGTAACTTTTTAGCAACATATCAGTTATATAAATCAAGTATGCCATAATTCATATAAGCCTACATAGAAAAAAAGAAAGAAACAGTGGGAAATTCAAGGAACTTATTATAACAGTTAGAGAGGTTAAGTCAACAATTGGTGTTGATATTCTTGCTCATCCTCAGATCCGGAAGCAAGGAGAAAGGAAAACAGAAGAGTGTTGGTACACCTGTCTTTGAGCCATTCTTCTATAACCTAAAATGAAGGATATATCATTTGCTACTAATCCCAAAAGTTTTAACAAAGTATCCGTGAATGCAAGATCTCTAGTGACAAGAGCAACTTGCTTGCTGACTACAACCGCACTTTATATTCATATCCCTTGGGAATCTCATAAGAGGTAACACTTTTTGAAAGCTTCCTATGTTCCAGGAACTCTCCCAGGCTTCACTGCTTTTTAATAAACCTGTGCAGGAAGTACCACTGTTATCCCTATTTCATAGAAGGGAGAAAATGAGGCTGAGAGAATTTAAGAAAATCACCTATAGTCACTCAGCTATAAAGATACAGAACTAGCTGTTCACAATAGCCAAGATATGGAATCAACCTAAATGTCCATCAACAGATGACTGAATAAAGAAAATGTGGTATATGTATACATGATGGAATACTATTCAGTTATTAAAAAGAATGAAATAGGCCGGGCACAATGACTCACGTCTGTGATCCCCAGCACTTTGGGGCCGAGGTGGGTGAACTTGAGCTCAGGAGTTCAAGACCAGCCTGAGCAACATGGCAAGACCCCATCTCTATTTAAAAAAAAAAAAAAGAAAAAGAATGAAATCCTGTCATTTGCAACAACACAGATGAGCCTGGAGGACATTATGTTAAGTGAAATAAGTCAGGCACAGAAAGACAAATACTTCATGTTCTGACTCATATCTAGGAGCTAAAATAAATTGAGCTCATAGAAATAGAGAGTAGAACTGTTGGTATTAAAAGCTGGAAAGGGGAGGGGAGGGGGAAGACAGGGAGAGGTTGGTTAATACACACAAAGTTACAGCTAGATGGAATAAGTTCTAGGGCTTTGTAACACTATATGCTGAATATGGTTAACAATAATTTAGTGTATATTTTCAAAAAGCTACAAGAGAGGATTTTTAATGTTCACAACACAAAGAAATGATCAATGTTTGAGGTAATGGATATGCTAATTACCCTGATTTGATCGTTACATGTTGTATACATGCACAGAAATATCATTCTGCATTCCATAAATATGTACAATTATGACATGTCAAACAAAAATAAAGGAATAAATATGTAAATAAATAAAGGTAAGGAAACATACCTCAAAAAAGAAAAGTACAGCTAGGTGTTAGATGCAGGCAGTCTGCAGAGACTGCTCTAAAGATAACGCTCTTGGCCTTTTTGTTCCGTTGCTTATGAATGGCACACCAATCAATGAGAATTTCTTACTTCCCTGATTCTAAGAAGATAATTCCTCCCATTAAAAAGAGACCTTAGGAGGAATGATCTTCTTAGAATCAGGGTGCTTGTAATCCCAGCTACTTGGGAGGCTGAGGCAGGAGAATCGCTTGAACCCAGGAGGCAGAGGTTGCAATGAGCTGAGATCATGCCCCTGGCACTCCAGCCTGGGCAACAAGAGTGAAACTCCATCTCAGGAAAAAAAAAAAAAAAAAGAGAGAGAGATCTTGATTTTCATATTCTGAAGCTCACTCCTTGCCTATTTATGGTGCAGGGGGGAAAAAAATTTTCACATCCGGGCTTTGAGAAAGCTCTCAGTGGTTCTCAAGTTTTACCTCGGCTCACAAAGCCCAAAGCCACCACACCTTCAGACCAGGTCATGGAAGGAACAAACCTAGAATGTGTTATGTGAGAAAGACCACTCTTCTGACCCGAATAGATTTTTGTCATATCAACCACATCACTGAGGTTAAAGAAAAGCCTACATCATCACATCAGTTTTTCCAGTTAGGACCTAGAAGGTATGAAATAAATGTTAACTTAAAAAAAAAAGTGTTAAACAGTGCCGTTGGGCTATAATGAAAAGAAAAAAGACTAGGGTAGCCCCGTGTGAAATCCCTGTACTCCTTCCCACTCTATTCTTGTTTCATTCTCCCTGGCCACTCCCATCCCAACCTTCCCATCTTCCTGAGGACTCCTCATGGAGCCCTGACTTTAATGCTCTCTACTGCTGTTGCTCAAAAAGGTTTACTTGTTCTAAAAGTATCCCATGACCCCTTTTCCTAATTTAAATTTCCCTCTTCATCTACTCCATTCTCCCACCAGCCTGGAATTAGAAAAAGGAGACTCCTCTATGAAGTGCTACTTCCTTTCAGTAGACCTTAGACTGGATAAGATGACCTCCAAGTTTCATCCAATTAAAAGTGTATTATTAAACCAACCTATACTAAATAGTGAATCACAATCAACTTGATCTAAAAAATCTCCACACCACCACAGAGTGTCTCTGCTTGCTCCATTCCCAGTGGGGTTGGTTTCTTTGAGTGGTAAAATGCTTATATCGCAGTACTAAGACTCTTGTTCCTTGGCATACAGCTGGTCTGGGGAGAAGAAAACTCAAGCTCCCTTTGTGGAAACTGTCACCTGCTTATGGGTGGAAAATAAAGAAAAGGGGACAAGAAAATGAAGAAGAAGCCACTCTAAGACCACGCTAAAAGCCCTCAGATGCTTAACTGAGGAAGGCCTGGAATGTGGATGTTATCTGTGGCCACAAACCTCTGCAGGTGGACACAAGCAAAAGAAGTCAGCCAACCTTCATCTCCTTTCCTCATCAACTTCCTTGGTTGGAATTGAAGATTTAGGCTGCTCAGCTCCAAAAGAATAATAATAATAATTGCCCTCTCCTTAGGCTATAACAACCCTCACATTCCTCTATCTCTTCTAAATCTGACCTGTTTCCCTTAGAAAATAAAAATAATAAACCTCTAGAGTTCACTTGGCTCAACAGTGGGCACTATTCATCATTGATAAACCTAAGTAATAGCATTGTTAATATGCTTGTATGAAGAAAAGCCATACTATGAAGTAGAGTGAGACAAAAGCATCATTGCTACCACCTCTAACCCCTAACCTGCTCCCAGAAACACCAGTCTCCATGGAGGCCTCTATTCTCCCACCTACAATGGCTCTGATTCAGGCAACTGCATTAAAGGTAAGTGAAACCACATCTTATTCAATTTCAATCTGTCTTATGTTTAATTAATTTTTAAAGAATATACAATTGTTTTCTTTACATATATAAGGTAATTTAACTACAGAATTGACTCAAAGGTTTTCAGGAGCTGACCTGGCACCTAAACACTCATAGTACTATCTCATCACCAAAAATGTTTTAACAATGTACCAACTTTTATATTCAATCCATTTGTATTTAGAATATAGCCCCTGCTTTTATTTCAGGGAAGAAGCTTTGTCCTGGGAGTACCAAATGGCACAAGCCAGGGGCCAGGAAGACAGAGCATGCAAGAACACAGCAAAATGTGCCAGAACCAAAGTCAATAGGTGGCTCTCTAGGACATCAGGAACTTGGGGTTTCAAAACTAACTTATTCTTAATAAACGGCAGTTTATCAGTTGGAATCTTCTTAGGAAACTAGAAAAAATACAAAAATACAGTAGGTAAATATACCTGTAACAAGCCAATACTTAAACATCACTCTGCAGAAAAATGGAGCATACCTAGTCACATTTAAGGCCCCAGCTTCTACAAACAAAAGTGTAGCCAATTAATGTATCTCAAAGGGCAGATTTTTTTTTGACTATTGAAGTCAGGAAAATTCCCCCCCGCTAGAATGGCTCTTATTGGCAGATATTTTCTGAGAGAGGACAGCTGAGTTAATGGAGGCCTGTGGTCATTTTATGTCAATGTCTGGAATAGGTTGTTTCCTCTTCTCATTCTTGCTTTTATTTTTTATTATTATTATTATTTTTTGCCAGTCCCTATGGCTACATCGCACCTGCTACCCCCCAAATACATGCTAATGGCAGTATCTTAAAGGGACAGGAATCACCAGAAAAGAAATGCACATAGTTGGATTTCTTATGCAACTCATTGATTGCATATGCCTGTAGTAATCTTTTTCAACAGAACTTGTCAGGTTAAAATTATAAATGACTTCAAGCTGCTGCTATCCATTTCATTTGGCTATTAGGGTGGTCAGGATGTCTAACTCAGGAAAGATAAAATGACAAAATGTCCCAGGAATCAATAGGTCTTTATTTTGCCTTGATTTTACTGAATAAAATCCACCTATAACTTGACTGCTTGGGGCCAGAGTCTCTTCTGTTTATTCTATTCTTTAAGATCAATTATTAGAGAGAAATCAAACCAAAAAAAGGGATAAAACAGTGTTACCTAGGTACAAATTTAAGCTATAAACTCTGAAGTAGAACATGCTTACTGTGGTTAAAAGATATAAACCACATATAAATTTAGCAACAACTCATCATATTAGATATTGTGACCTTTGGCATCGGCATTTTTCAGTATCATTTCAGATAGCACCAGTAAAGATGGCAGAAGTAATCTAATCCCTTAATGCCCATGTCCCAAACAGAAGTGCACTTCTGAAATAGCCTCAGCAGAAGCCACATCTTTTCACACTTGCTTTTAAGGAACCAAGGCAATCTTTTAAAAGAAATAGTACATCAAGCATGATCAATGGATGAGGAAGAGTTTCAATACCAAGTCAGTGAATTAATAATACCATTGTACGTATCAAAACTCCACTATGAACCCAATCAATATGTATAATGATTATGTGTCAATTCAAAAAATAAAAACTGCAACATACATGCATTGAGAGTGATGTCCTCACAGTTCAGAATGCAGAAAAAGACTAACACTAATCAAAAGACTATTGCTAATCAAAAGACTTTCGGTATCACCCATCTTTAGCAAGAATCACATAAAAATTGGCTTGTTGGGTTTTTTAATGATAGGCCAGCATACTAATTCTTCCTAATATGTGATTTTATTTATGCATTTTATTGATTGATTGAGACAGGGTTTCATTTTGTCACCCAGGCTGAAGTACAGTGGCATGATCTCAGCTCACTACAGCCTCCACCTTCCAGGCTCAAGCAGTCCTCCCACCTCAGCCTCCAGAGTAGCTGGGACTACAGATGTACACCATCACGCCCAGCTAATTTTTGTATTTTTTTGTAGAGACAGGGTTTCACCATATTGTCCAGGCTGGTCTCAAACTTCTGGGCTCAAGGGATCTGCCTGCCCTGGCCTCCCAAAGTGCTGGGATTACAGGTTTGAGTCAGTGAACCTGGCCATAATATGTGTTTTTAAAGTGATCCTCATTCAGGATATGGGATTGCAAGCAATGCGCCTGGCTCCACCACCTTGTAGCACAAAGAAACAGAAACAAGAAGTATAAGACAAACCATGGCTTAAAGGCAGCCACAAAAATGTGAAAAATGAATCACTCAGTTACAAATTGTTTGCCAAATTCCTTCACCTTCATCTTTGAGAAAGAAATGCACTACACAGCTAGTATCACAAAATGTCCTAATGACATGGGATGGGGGAACAAGAGACTGATACTAACTACTACGGTGGTTGCCAGCATTTCAAGCCTGAAAAGAACAAAGCCATTCAGCAAAATTATTTCCGGGCATCAGTTTGAACTATGGGAAGTCACAGTTGTAAGGTAAAGAGAAAAAAAAAGAAAACAAACTGAACACTTCATAATATTTGGAAACTTCTTACCAATCTCATTTTCCTGGCTTTCCTTCATTTAAATTTTTACCTAACACAAAGTAATACTTCATAAGTAACTAAACCTTGAAGAAATAAAACCAGGATTCAGTTGGGCCTTTTCTTTTCCATTTCCTTTCTCAGCTGCCTGCCTTCTAATAAGACAAACTTTTGGCAGGAACATAGAAGGTATCCAGACATTTCGATGAATTAGACAAGGAAAGTCTAAATGAAGAAATCCTGGCACTTATAAATGAAGCAGTCTTTTAAAAACCAAAGAGCCAAAACACAGGCTAAATAATGCTTCCTGAAAAAGAAATTCACTTTTTAAAAAAGGAGATACACACAGTTCTCCAGGATCATTAAGGCACTGTTCTAAATTAGTATCTTTCAGATCAAACTGAGAAACTTCACAAGTAATTTCTAAACAAAACCGTTAGTGCACACATTCCCCATAGACAGCTCTTTAGCAGATTTAAGTTGCATACTGTAATCAACACAAGTACAGTTACTTACTTGTTTCCTTCTGTAATGAGCAAACTGAGAAAGTCCTAAAACAGTTGCAAGAGCACCTCCTCCAACAAGAATCGTCCCTTTCACTGCCTTTTGAAATGCCATTTCTTAGCCTACAAAGAAAAATAAGAAACAAAAAGAAGTTAATTGGGATAGTTATCGCATAACCATCCCAATAATAAGACACTGTGTAGATTATGAAACCATGTTAAACTAGAAAAGAAAACATAAAATAAGGAAATTACTAACAAACCAATGTGTATACTGCAACTCAAAATAAATAGCCAAAAAATTCTAGACAAGGGAATTGATCACATAAAAGTTACTTTCTGGTTCGACAGGAATTAAAGAAAGAAAAGCAAATTAAGAGATAACTGAGGATATTTAAACAGTATAAAGTCAAAAGAACTGTGAAAAGAAATGTCATTGGGTATTTAACAAAACTGCATGCTATACTTGTAAATTTGCTCAACACCTAATCCTCTCCTCAAGGAGAACCAGCAGAAAGAAGTCTTGGGTCACTCAACAAGACAATAAACATCAGCTTGCTTCAGGTTCTTTGGCAAGTGTTTAATTCAAATTGTGGTAAGACTCCCTTCCCAAGTTTTTCCCTTTCTAATGAAGTTTTCACTACAGCCAAAAGCCAGCAGTGTTATATTTCTATTATTGAAAGAGTCGGCTGGGCGTGGTGGCTCACACTTGTAATCCCAGCACTTTGGGAGGCCGTGGTGGTGGATGCCTGTGATCCCAGCTACTCGGGAGGCTGAGGCAGGAGAATCGCCTGAACCCAGGAGGCAGAGGTTGCAGTGAGCCGAGATCATGCCACTGCACTCCAACCTGGGTGACAGAGCTAGACTCCGTCTCAAAAAAAAAGAGTATACTTTACAGATAAGAAGTCAGAGGTATTATGCCTTAAGACTTTCACAAACTGACCAATTTAACCTGCTGTAATTCCTTTCATTAGGGGAACTTAACAGAAAAAGTTTTCTTCTAGCCAGAGTTGCATGACACCAAAATTTTAAGAGAAAACCCTCCAGATCAAGCACTCACTGTATATTTGTGCTCTCTGTATTTATATTTTTTTCTTTCTCTCTTTTTGTAGAGACTGAGTCTGGCTCTGTCACCCAGGCCAGAGTGCAGTGGCTCAATCATAGCAAACTATAAAATCAAACTCCTGGGCAAGTGATTCTCCCAAGTAGCTGATACTACCAAGTGCATGCCGCCATGCATGGCTATTTTTTTTTCTTTCTTTCTTCTTCTTTTTTTTTTTTCTGTAGAGACAAGGTCTTGCTATGTTGCCCAAACTGGACTCAAGCAATCTCCTACCTTGGCTTCCCAAAGTGCTAGGATTACAAACATGAGCCACCCCACACTCTGCTCCACTGAATATTTCTCAAGTTCTGCATTGTCTTAGCTCTTAACTTTCTTTCCTCTCACTTGTTTTCCACTACTGGACTGATAATGGAATTTTCTAAAGTTTTGATGAGGACTTAAAAATTATTCTTTAACTCTTTCAGAAACTAAGAAGATTGCATAAAAATGAAAATTCCATCAAAAATCCTTTTGTCCGCTTTTACTGTTAAACGTAAAAAGATAATCCTGTGTGATCAACTAAAAAAAATTCTAGAGTTGAGTAATTTGACCTGCCTAAGACTTTACATTCACAAAAGCAGGGAAACAGGGAAGCCACTACCCTATTTCCTTGTAGGGGTGGAGCACTGGCCTGTCTGGACAACACACGTTACATTCTACTGATAGCTCACAACTCAAGAAAACAATTTATTATGAAGGTAGTTTTAACTTAGGATACTAAAAAAACAGTATCTCAACATAAATTATGATACGGTTAAATATTTGGGTCCATACTGAATAAACTGTATCTATTATCATACTATCCTAAATAAAGAATTGCAATATAGTTGATAACTATGATCCTATAGAAAACTCATTTTAGGATACTATAAATTATATACTGATATGTGGTGGCATTTTTAAAATTTTTTTCTTCTGATCTCATTCTTCCTGACAAACTCCTAAATTCTAAACTTTATCTTTTTAATTAAGATTCTTCCCAGGATTAGAGCCCAGGAGTTTGAGCTTGTAGTGAGCTGCAATTGTGCCACTGCACTCCAGCCTGGGAGACAGAACAAGACTCTGTCTCTAAAAAAAATTTTAATGATTCTTACTAGGAAAATATTTCACAAGCATATGTACTCTGCTGCTGGAGGTCTCTTCTTTACTGTCCCTTTGCTATATCAACCATCTTCTCTTTCCCAAATTATGCAGGAAAGTTGGTGTATGCTGGCTAGGGGCCACCATTCATCATTCAGTCAACCCTAGGCAAAACCTTATATCCTAGGTTGCTGGGATAGTAAAAACCCTAACTTAGCAGGTACCCATTTGTCATAGCTCACTATCACCAATCAATGTACTGTTGTAAACATTCACATGGGTGCCTATCACACAACAATGTAAGCCCTAGCAGCCAAGAGATAGCATGCTATCTCAAGGCTAACTGGGTTCCTCTGACAACTGGAGACAGAGAATAAAGTCCTAGTTCTATTTACTATTTACCTTAAACAACGCACATGCCTGACTCATAGCAGTGTGGTGGTCCCTAGGATATGAGTGTTGTGACTGATTGACTTATCATTGCTTCTGTCTTGTTGATAATGTCATTGTTGACCTCACAAAGGATACCACACATCAACATGGCCAACTCAGGGAAGTTATATACAACACAGTCAATGAAAATGTTTCATTCTCAGAGGTGTTCATTCAGCCAGTTAAGTTTGAAGCTAGTATTTCCAAATGTGTGGGTCCCTATGTTCCCTGCCTACCTGATAGTATTGTTTTAATTTGATTTGTCAGAGACCAAAACTTGCAAAGGAAGATATTTTCATGCATTTTCCCAATGAGCCACTAATACTATCAAAAAACTACATTCTCATGTCATCTTGCAGAGTTAGCAATAATATCAACTATAATCAATAAAGAGTTTTCCTTTTTCCATAATTTAAAAAAATAATGTATGCTTGAGGGCTCATTATTTCTACTGTGATCAAATCCTTCTGTACGGTCATCTGGCTAGCTCAAAGTCAAAGGCAAGAATCAGCCAGTTTCATTTGACTTTCCTAAGATTATCATTATGAGTGTTGTTATTGTTATGAATGTTACAATAATAATCACCACCATTTATTATTTACTAGGTAACAGGTACTGTGCTTTTAATTCTTTATACACATCAGCTCATTTCACCCTCACAACATCTAATTTCATAAAAGGGGCAGTGGTAGCTCAGAGGAAATGGGGGATTTCCCCAAAGTCACTGCCTACTAAGTGAGAAAACAAGACTGAGTTTATGTTCTTGAGCCCTGGTGGTTCTGTCCTGCCTTTGGTCTCAAAAGGCAACTTCTCCCCAAAAGCTATACCATATTTTGTTGTCACTCCCAAAAGAAGGCCCTATTCTCAAAGTCACCCAAATGTTCAGTCCCTTGGCATTTGGGTTAATCTCCAAGGCAATGAAGAAGTCTCTAGCAAAGTATCTACTAGTAATCTTCTGCCAGGTAATGTAAGACCTTTGTTTTAGGGCCGGGCACGGTGGCTCACATCTGTAATCCCAGCACTTTGGGAGGCTGAGGTGGGTAGATCATTTGAGGTCAGGAGTTCAAGACCAGCCTGGCCAACATGCTGAAACCTTGTCTCTACTAAAAATACAAAAATTAGCCAGGCAGTAGTGGCATGCGCCTGTAATCCCAGCTACTCGGGAGCCTGAGGCAAGAGAATCCCTTGAGCCTCGGAGGCGGAGACTGCAGTGAGCCGAGACTGCGCCACTGCACTCCAGTCTGGGTGACAGAGTAAGACCCTGTCTCAAAAAATAAAAAATTTAAAAAAGAACTTTGTTTTAATGCTGAAAGAATGAAATTTAGAACTATATAAACCAAATGCTGTGGACAACATGTACCCATTTACCATTGTAAGGAGAAACGTTTTCACAATGATTACAAACAAAAAAAAAAGATTATTTCCTTCTAAGTAACAGCTTTACTAGAAAACTAGCAAAGAAGGGGACCAAAAATATACACAAATCTTTACTAACTTCTGCAATAAATGTTCAAGGAAACCAGAGGTGAAAAAATTTTAAAAAATAGAATTAGCTTATTTATCATAGCTTCAAATCCATGTTTTATAGCCTTTTAATTAAATCACATATATGCTTACTCAGGACCAGCTGCTGCATTGACATAGACCAGAGCTAGCTCTAATTCTTGCAAGGAGAACACCAGCTCAGTTGGCAAAACCTAAACAAATGGTGCTCAACTAAATATATCTGTGAGTTTATCAACTAACTGCCCACAAGCAATTAATCTATCTGTAGGATTAAATATCAAAGTGTGTCTTGTAACTCTGCACTCTGTCTTATAACTAGTTGTGCTATACTGAGTGTTATAGTCTGATAGAAAAAAAAAGCAAGGTGCTATATCATTTTAATGTTGCAAGAAATTGACTCTGACTAAAAGAATTAAAGAAGGCTTCAGTGAAGACAGGATTTTGGAGAAGGGTCTTGAAGGGGAAAAAATTTGGAGGGGAGTGAGTAGGGAACGTTATAGAGAAAGACAATTGGTGGAGAAAGGGGAGCATCATGGTACGTTCTAGGCATACAAATAGTTATCTCGTTTGGCTGGAGATGATGTACAGCTAGAAATGGTGTTTAAAAAGAAGTCCAGAGGGAAGAGAGAGGAAGACTGTGTACACGTGAAGTAAAATATTTCTATGATATCCTGTTGGCAACGGGGAGTAGAGGCTGTAGATTAAGGAAGTAAGATGTTTTGTCTAACGTTCTGTAAAGACTGTTCAAGTAGATTTTTAGTGTTGAAGCTTACGAAGACAGAGAGACCAATTAGAGGGCAATGAAATAGATCCCATGTGAGAGAAGAGCCTGGTTTAAGGCAACATTAAAGAGTGCAAATCTAGAGACTGATGTTTTGCACAACTGTCTAAGGACAGCACTCAATTAGACAGCATGACAAGACCTGACAACCGATTACAGGAGGCAGCAGGAAGAGACTGAACACAATAAGTGGTTTTAGTTTGGGCAGCTGGAAAATGACCCCAAGATTTCAATATTAAGATCTAGAAAGAGAAGCAGGTTTAAGGAAGAAGAGAAGCTCAGCTTGCAACTAAGAAAATTTGAGATCTTGACGGAACATCTACTCAGAAAACAGCACAGATGAATATTTGGGTCTAAAACTCCCAAGAGTAATAGGTACTTGGGAAAATTTTGCCTAGAACTGACAGATGTAATTGCTACACAACAAAATGTACTTACTGCTAGCAAACAAAAACTAAATTTGCCACTTCTCAAAGTTTGCTGACCTTTGTTTGTACCTGACTGCTGCAACTTATCTGGCTCAGATGAATTCTTAGATGTCCTTGTAGGGCTCCCATTATAGACAGTGACTTTTAACAAAGAACAACTCCTCACATCCTATTTCATGTAAGTCCCTGAGTGCATCCACCACTTCTACCTCCTCCCATTCATAGGCAAGGCAACTATGCACAAGCAAATTTATTCCAGAACCAGATCGCACTTCCTGGCCTCTGAAATCTCTTTAAAAAGTACTCACTCTCCTACTCATCTCCCTGTCTTCTCTCTTCCAGAAGCCTTACTTATCAAAATACAAATTTAGCATAAGTAAGAATCATGCAAATGGGCTGGACCAGTGGCTTATACCTGTAATCCCAGCAATTTGGGAGGCCAAGGCAGGAGGATTCTTTGATATCAGGAGTTCAAGACCAGCTTGGGCAACAAAGCAAGACTCCATCTCTATTAAAGAAAATTTAAAAATTAGCTGGGCATGGTGGCGCACACCTCTAGTTTCAGCTATTCAAGAGGCCAAAGTGGGAGGAATCATGTGTGCCCAGGAGGTCAAGGCTTCAATGAGCCATGATCATACCACTGCACTCCAGCCTGGGCGACAGAGCAAAACCCTGTCTTAAAAAAAAAAGAAAAAGAAAAAGAAAAAGATTCCATGCAAATACATTTGTCACTCCTCTGTGGAATAAGCCCTGGGTCCCTTTGTCAGAGGCGTGTGAACCAGAGGAACTCCATCTTGAATAGGAGCTGGGTAAAATAAGCCACCCCTTGTTTAGCATATAATCAAGAAATAACCATAAAAATGGGCAACCAGCAGCCCTGTGTGTATGGAGTAGTCATTCTTTTATTCCTTCACTTTCACTTTATGGACTCACCCTTAACTCTTGTGTGAGATCCAAGAACCCTCTCTAGGCATCTGGATGGGGACCCCCTTCCTGTAACACCTTCATGTTTACAAAAACTCTCCTATCTTTCTGGTTTCTTATATAGAAACCTCAATTACCTTTCTAATCCCCATGCTCTCCATTAGTTTAGAACTTCTCAGGGTTTTGATTCTTATGCCAGCATAGAAGTAAGCATATTTCTCTCCATCCCTTACAAGCATGACCAATGGAGGGGCGGAGAGTACAGCTCAAAGATCAATTACAGAAGAGTAATTTCAACGACCAGCCTTGCTGTCCTCGGGGCATGCATTCTCCAGCAAGACATAAAGGCATCCCATATTGCACTCCCATGTTTATTGCAGCACTAGTCACAGTAGCCAAGATTTTCAATCAACCTAAGTGTCCATCAACAGACAAATGGATAACAAAAATGTGGTACATATACACAATGAAGTAGTATTCAGCCATAAAAAAGAATGAGATCAGGCCGGGCACAGTGGCTCACACCTGTAATCCTAGCACTTTGGGATGCCAAGGTGGGCAGATCACTTGAGTTCCGAAGTTCGAAACCAGCCTGGCCAACATGGTGAAACTCCGTCTCTACTAAAAATACAAAAAAATTAGCCAGGCGTGGTGGTGGGTGCCTGTAATCCCAGATACTCAGGAGGCTGAGACAGGAGGAAAATCACGTGAACCTGGGAGGTGGAGGTTGCAGTGAGCTGAGATCACGCCACTGCACTCCAGCCTGGGCGACAGAGCGAGAGACTCCGTCTCAAAAAAGAAAAGAATGAGATCATTTCATTTGCAACAACACGGGTAAAACTGGAGGACATCATGTTAAGTGAAATAAATAAGGCACAGAAGGACAAATTTTGCATATTCTCACTCATTTGTGGGAGCTAAAAATAAAAACAAATGAACTCATGGAGACAGAGAGTCAGAGAGTAGAGGATGGCTACCAAAGGTTGGAGATGGTAGTGAGGTTGGGGTGGGGATGGTTAATGAGTATAAAAACATAGTTAGAATGAATAAGATCTGGAAGTTGATAGAACAGGGTGACTGCAGTCAACAATAACTTACTGTACATTTAAAAATAACTAAGAGAATGTTCGTAACACAAAGAAATAAATGCTTAAGGTAATGGATACCCATTTACCCTGATATTACTGTTACTCATTGCATGCCTGTAGCAAATTATCTCATGTACCCAAAAATATGTATACATACTATGTACCCAGAAAAATTAAAAAGAAAAAAGAAATTAAAAATAAATAAAAGCGATCCATGCTCTTCCAATCACCTACACTGAGAAATCCAGATGTACAAGGCATTTCAAACATTAAATAAAAACCCCAAGATGTAACCTAGAGGTAGCCCTTTAATCACTAAGCCCTTTACCTAAGCCTTTTGTGGTCCAAAGGTAGCAAATGCTCCTTACACTTCATCTGTGCAGCCACCTGCTCCTGTAGCTGTGCATGCAAAACCCACTCCTTCAACTATTTTGAGTCGTGTCACACTGTCACACCCATGGAAGGCACAACTCAGAGGGCCAGGCCTCACACTCGCATACAAATCCAGTGACTTATTGAAGAAAAGTGCATGAGTCTTACAAAATAAGCATATAGAACCTCATCAGAGAAGGTCCTAGCAAACGGGTCTGTAATCATGGATAGCTTGACAGCAAGTCCACAGTAAAACAGAAGAAGGAGTGAGCTCAAAAGCCTCTTCCCTCCCAGCAGCACCCTTTTAACTATAAAAGTCAAGATCACTGGGTGGCTTGAACTAGATGTGTTTTAGCAAGCAAACCTTTTATTATTCCAATTAATGTGATAACAAATGTTTTGTACAATTCCCTTGAAGGAGGTATCTCATAGTTCAGACACACCAAACATATGCTGATACAGTGCTTACTCAGACAAGTAACAATCAAAGCATACCATGTACTACTCTTTCCCCAAGTTTTACTTTACTGTGGGGATCATGATTAGTACTCTGCCTGCAAACGCATTCCCCCCAGCCAAGCAGAGAAGGACTTACACACCTGTATCTTACACATGTGATTCCTACAGAAACACACAGAGAGCCCTCAAGTGTACTTTTTGAAAGCTATCAGACCTAAATGAACAAAACAGTCAAACAGAAGAGGCACATTAGCCTGTTCTCTGGAAACAGAGAGGAGGTCTATTCTGTAAACTGAAGGTGAATTCTCCTCTTTTGTTGTTGTTGCTTTTAAAAAGGATTTAGGCCAAGACTGGACAGGAAATTGACCCAAGGGTTCTTCACAAAAGACAATCCCTATGGAAAGAAGTGAATGTATCAAGTCCTAAGAAAACAGAAGACACTTTTATCCTTCCGTCACCTTCTTTAGCCTTTTCTCTATTATATCAAAAGCAAAAACACACAAACACAACAATAACAACCTATAGTTGTAAAGAATATATACACTGAACAGGATATCAAACAACAAACAAAAAGGCTTTTCCGAAGTCACTGAGAAAAGCATTATCCTGATAACGCAAGATAAATCAAAAAACCAAGTAAAAGTCAACAGAAATGTGTGAAACATAATCCTCAGGTTCTAAATACACAAATTTTTGGACTGTGGTGGAAGAAGCTAAAGCAACACACTCACACATTGCTGGGAAGGCATCCAGACTCTAGCTTTGTCCCTGACTTCCACACCCTATCAAAAGGCCAGCCTGCTTCCAAGAAGGGCAGGTTCTTTCACTTCCAATCCATTTATTTCCCCAGGCAATTACTGCCAGAAGGGCCCACCCCAGCCCAAGAGAAAGTAAACAATTTTAGCAGAGGAAGAGTATTTCCATAAAGAAGAATGAGAAAAAAAAAAAATCATGAAACAAAGAGAAAGCGAAAGAAAATAAACACTATATTTATATCAATTCACATAGTGTAAAGCTAGAAAATTCTGAGTCTCCCTGGGTCACCTTTATGTCAATTATATCATTTTAGAAGCAAACCAACAGTGAGAACGAGGTTGGCCCAGGACCACTTCTCAGCCTCAAAGGAGGGCAGGAGCCTGGAAGCTTGACAGGAGAAGCTGGCTAAGAAACGAGTTGAGCTAGTTTCAGGGGCAGAGTTCAAAAAATGCAAGTAAAAGGTACAAAAGAAGGAGAAAATAAGGTCAATAACTATTTTAAGTGAGCCAGTTAAAAGTCTCTGTTTATAAAAAATTTGTTGCAAACATTATTACATGGGATTTCTGATGTGTGATGGGGGGTTAAGTTTAATAATGTCATAACTGTTAATCGAGCATTTATTTCACAAAGTCCTCTAAAACAAAAAATGCATTGAAAGGGAGGGAGCCTTAGAGGAACACAAGGATACACGTTTGCACTCTAGTAGTGATGCATTATTTAAGACCCGATTTTTTACAAAATATATGCCATTTCCAAGGCAATTGCCATATAACATACTTATGCTTTCTACCATTTCTAAAATACACACTGGAACTATAGTCACAAATTTGACCCTTTTTCTTTATTTCATGAGGTTCACTATAGAATTATAAGAAATCAATGAAGCTCATTATATTCATTAAATGCAAATAACCACAGCTTAATTCATAATAGAATAGTTTCTATTATGTTTGCTTTCCATACAATTGCTATAAAAGTCATAAAGAACTATAGTTAGTGCACGCAAGTGAATTTGTATTCCATTTTAAATTCATTTTAAAAGCAAAGTTAATATATACTCTGTATCACTCCAGATATATTCACGGATTTGTGTTTAAAGTCGTACAATCCTATCTTTAATATTCCATTAAAATCTATCTCTGCCTTCTTTGCTTACCATATACATAATTGAGGGTAACCCTGAGAGCCCCAAAATAAAATGTCCCTCCCAAGTGAAAACTTGAAGCATTCCTTCACAAAAATGCCAACCCCTTGTAAAAACACAAGTCAGGTTAAGGAGCTGAGTAGATAACATGCCTAGTACAGAATTAAACAAACTTGCATTTATATCAACTAACAAGAAATGGTTGACTTAGCATGAAAAGGAGATAGCACAACAGGGAGAAAAACTTTAAATCTGCCTTGAGGAGGCAGGAATGTTATCAATGAAACACATTCATTGATAACATTCAAAAGAAGTTCATTAGTCAAACAGACCATACTAGTCCTGTGCTTCTTTCAGTCTTTCCGCCCCTTTACTAACCCTTTATTGGGTTAAGATAATGTTTGACATTCCTTTGGCAGCATAAACGCTCTTTTTACATTTTACATGCTGTTACAGAATCTACTTCAGTAATCAAAACAAGAAAAAGGCCTGGAGTGGTGGGTGGCTAACATCTATAATCCCAGACTCAGAGAAACCCAGGCAGGAGGACCCCTTGAGGCCAGGAGTTCAAGACCAACCTGGGAAGCGAGACCCTGTCTCTACAGAAAAAATCTTTTTAATTAGCTGGGCATGATGGCACATGCCTGTAGTACCAGTTACTCAGGAGACTGAAGTGGGAGGATTGTTTGAACCCAGGAATTCAAGGCTGCAGTGAGCTATGAGGGCACCACTGCACTCCAGCACAGGTGATAGAATGAGATCCTGTCTCAAAAAAAAAAAAAAAAAAGAAAGAAAGAAAGAAAGAAAAGAAAAGAAAAAGTCCTTTACCTTGCTATAAAATAAGCTGCAAATCAAAGAGTTTTAAATGTCTGTCTTAAGATTAAAACATATCAAGCCTTCCCTCAAAATTTATTAAAACTAACAAAGCCTTACAGAGTAACTACAATCATGGCTGTTGAATACATACTGTAAAATGTTTTGTAAGAAAACAAAGTCCAGGCCGGGCACGGTGGCTCATGCCTGTAATCCCAGCACTCTGGGAGGCCGTGGCGGGTGGATCACTTGAGGTCAGGAGTTCGAGACCAGCCTGGCCAACATGGTGAAGCCCCATCTCTACTAAAACTACAAAAATTAGCCAGGCGTTGTGATGGGTGCCTGTAGTCCCAGCTACTCAGGAGGCTGAGGCAGGAGAATCACTTGAACCCAGGAGGTGGAGGCTTTAGTGAGCCAAGATCATGCCACTGCACACCAGCCTGGGCAACAAAGCAAGACTCCATCTCAAAAAAAAAAAGAAAAGAAAATGTACCAATTCTTTCAAAAGTTCCTGTTGCAACTGCATTATATGCCGTTAGAAATATATTTGGGGAAGTATCTGTTGAAGATGGTTTAAGAAATCCTGAGCTTATTTTTTTAAATTATGACTGAATTTTTAATAATAATTAGTTATAGCACAATAACTTCAGTTATTGTTCAGTTCATTGTAAAAGAAAGTTCTCAATTTGAATACAGCTCTATTATAAACATCACTACACATATATTTAATGTATAAGTGGTGACTGAGAGTTATAAGAGATCAAGAAGTGCGCTGTGGTGGGAAGACCAGTCACTCTGTTTCCTTAACAGAGAGAAGATCCCTAGGAAAAAAGCTGACTAGTTTTTCCATCCTGCAGTCTTTTTTCTCCTGTAACCTGTTGAAATTTACATTTAAAATTTACTCCTCTGTACATCTAATAATCCACAAGTATAAATGGAACTACAACAAAGAGCCAAAGTACAGATACAATGCATATATGAAAAAGGAAACCTGAGACGTACTGTAGTGAAAATAATCATGTATTAGAATATTTAGCTTACTGATTACACTTCCTAAAAATGTCTGACTCACAAGGAAATAAGAATCAGATGAGAGAAACAGATTGAAGTAATTCATACTGCTAACAAAATTCCCATTTAAAGTAAGTGAAAACAATGTATTTCCTAAATGCTCCATCCCCACTCCAAAAAAAGTGAAGAAAATATACTACATTTTCCTTCACCTATGCAAAAATAATGAGGAAAGCTGTATTTCTATCTCAGTCATTTTGGCTAAAATGATCTTGGTCATAAGATCTTACTCTCCTCAGTTGAATAACGCATCCTTTCCAAACTAAAGAAAAAGATATTTCTTTTCTTCTTTAAAAGGGCTAGCACAAACCCTCATGAAAAGCATTCAAGTACTATAGTCTAGTTATTCTGCATAAGATGTTTGGTATCAACACTACAGAGCTAATAGCACAGAGGTGACAGGTCTAAAATTTAAATAGCATAAATAGAGAAAATAAAGGGTTCGACTCAATATTCCTTTTGAAGCTGTCATTGATCTTTTTTTCAAAAAAGAACTCTATAGTCTTTCCCAAAAATATATAATTCTCTATGTTGTATTCCCAAAACTCTAAATTAAAAAAGAAAATCATCAGGGGGTATTCTGGAAGGAAAGACACGCTTGTAATTCTGTCTCTTCCACTAACTTGCTCTGCGATTTCAGGCAAATCACTTGAACTTGCTGATCCTCACTCCAACTATATATGAGCTAGCCTTCAAAATGTCCAAAGCTATTTTAACTTTAAAAGTTTATTACTTTATGGTTTTTCTTCATTCAATAGATGAAGAAGGGGAAACAACCCTCATGCATTAAATGTGGCATTATCTTAATGTCCTATTTATTTAGCACTGTTAGATAATTAAAACTTGCATTCATGGTTTTATTTAATAATTATTTACTGATCATCCATCATGTGTCAGGCACTGAGCAAACAAAGAACACACACAAAAAAATCCCTGCATTCCAAGAGTTTACATCTGAGTGGAGTATACAGTTAAAAAAAAAATTCTGTATTCTTTTGGATTAAAATACTATATTTCAAGAATGTAAGTCACACTTTGGCTTCTTAAATAATATTAACCATGAATTCAATTATTGACGACTTACAGCCATCCATATGTACATGCTATGATATGGTGATGGCCTCAGGAATAATAGGAGTGACAACACTATTAATGCCTTTACTTAGTGGTCTCAGGTCCCAGTCTGTTCCTGTATGAATTCTTCCTCTCTCTGCTTCCTACAATTTTCCTGCTTCTTCCAAACTATCAGGCTGATGATAATCTTCCCTGTTTATCTTTGAGCTCACTTCTTTTTTAATACTTTAAGTTCTAGGATATATGTACACAACATGCAGGTTTGTTACATAAGTATACATGTGCCATGTTGGTGTGCTGCACCCATTAACTCGTCATTGTTACCACTGTGGTTAGAAAAATGAGAGCCAAGTTAGTTTAACTGTTTCAAATACAAGTAAATAGCTCTAAGTAAGGCTAAAGGAGCTACTTACTAGAATTTTAACACTTGGTTTTCAATGTTCTGGCTCTAACTCTTCAGGGATCTTTTTACCCCCTTCTTTTATGTGTTTCAGGTTAGTGGAGCTTACTAGAAAACATCTGGATTTTGCTGTACACACTGTGAATGAAACAAACTACCCCAGCCTCTTACATAGAGTTAAGAATGTCAGGCTAGGTGCGGTGGCTCATGCCTGTAATCCCAGCACTTTGGGAAGCCAAGGCAGGCAGATCACCTGAGGGTGGAAGTTTGAGACCAGCCCGACCAATATGGAGAAACCCCGTCTCTACTAAAAATACAAAAAAAAAAAAAAAAAAAATGTATCCGGGTGTGGTGTTGCATGCCTGGAATCCCAGCTACTTGGGAGGCTGAGGCAGGAGAATTGCTTGAACCCGGGAGGCGGAGGTTGCAGTGAGCCGAGATCACGCCATTGGACTCCAGCCTGGGCAACAAGAGCAAAACTCCATCTCAAAAAAGAAAAAAGAAAAAGAAAAAAAGAATGTCAAACCAGGTACATGCACAGAGTCCAGGCCTTAGAAAAAGAAAATTCTTATTTCAATTCTACCTCATCTGAATAGATCCACATTATCTTGAAAAAACATGGCAACACTCTCTGCTTCTGTGCTAGAAACAATTAGTATATTTTTCTGTGCTCTCCTGCATTTAAAGAAATATTTGCAGATAAATGGACCAAAAAAATCCATCTGCTGCTTCTAAAAAACTCGAAAATTCCTTGAGAACTGGCTTATTGAAAACATACCAATAGCAAAGGAAAGATTAAAATTGTAATTTCTTAGAATATAACCAAAGCAAGAGTTCCATCAAATACTCAGGAAAGTATCCGTGAAGGACCTACCCAAGTGAAGAAGACAGGAGGAGGAGCATTGGTTCAGGTAACATACATTCAACTGGGATTGACTGAATACCTGGCAGATCCCCAGCACTGTTCCAGGGGCTGGGAATTCCTCTACTCTCATGGATTGGAAAAGACAAAAATAAACATGTAAACAAACATAAAAATTAAGTATTTTGAAAGTGAGAATTACTAGGAGAAAATAAAGATGAAATAATAGGTTAGAGGATAACTGGGGTAGGCTGGACATGATGGCTCATGCCTGTAATCCCAGCACTTGGGGAGGCCAAGGTGGGAGGATCGCTTGAGGTCAGGAGTTTGAGACTAGCCTGGGTAACATAGTGAGACCCTGTGCCTACAAAAAATAGAAAAAATGAGCTGGGCATGGTAACATGCACCTATAGTCCCAGCCACTCAGGAGGCTGAGGCAGGAGGATTGCTTGAGCACAGGAGTTGGAGCCTACAGTGAGCCACGATCACACCAACCTGGGTGACAAAGTGAGACCCTGTCTCAAAAACAAACAAACAAAAAAGTCAGTGGAGAATTTTAATCAGTACAATGATACGATGAAACTTATATTTCAGAAAGAAAGGAAGAAATGCCCTAGCTGCAGTATAGAGGATGCCTTTTAGGGTAATAAGAGTAAAAGTAGAGCCTGGAAGGTCAAGGCTACAGCGAGCTGAGATCCCACCACTGCACTCCACCCTGGGCAACAGAGTGAGATCCTGTCTCAAAAAAAAAAAAAAAAAAAAAAAAAGAGATAGAGAGAGATAATGTGATAATTTAGTGCTTGCCTGCAGGAACACAACTACTCCTATAGGCACAGGCACAGCCAGGGACCTGCTAGTGATAGGATGCTATCCTTGGCATATTCAAATGACACCAATGACCCCCAGGAGAGAGAGAGGGTTGCTTTTTCATTAGGATACCATTAGCCATGTTCATAATGAGTAGATGCAAGTATAGAAAAAAGGACACAATGGGAGAGGGGGAAAGAGTTAACAAATTATATGAGAAAACAGGCAAAAATACCAACTGCAATCTACAAGATTCTATAATAGGGAAACAAATACTTTAGGGATAAACTTGAATGTAAATATGTACTGAACTTACATACTTGAAAGACTGTTCATCTCACTCAGTCTAACAGGCTAACAACAATGAACAGACAGTGTCATCTAAGAGAGCCTCTTAAATGCCAACAGAAGTCTTTTTTATATTTCTATTTCCCCTTGGGCTGGGGTTGTTTCCAGGTGACTTTTCTCACCCCACAACTCATTATAATTTGCACTGATTTTGGACCCATATTGGAAAAGAACCCTAGGTCACATCTCTAAAGGCTGACGCACCCAGAACATTTCCCACCAACTACAGGCCAGGAAGTTAAGAGCTGTGTGAAGCTTATTGACCCAGCTGAGTATAAATTTCCAACAGGCAAGAGAGACTGCATATGATTAATTACAGTTATTTATATTTATGGGTTTGAATCTTGAGGATGCCTGGCCTATCCCCATTTTATTTCATAATTTTCCCCCTATTGGAGACTGAAGAGCAAAAGTCAATTGCCTGAAGTGTTGGCATCACACTGGAAACTAAAGGGCCATGCATTTCAATTCCAGCTCAAGGAACACTCTGACTGAGCAGATGCAATTCACCAGACCCCAGTGGGCTAGGATCGTACTGTTCTCAGTCAAATCACATAGCTGATGGAATTCAGCAGAGTACATTAGCAATTTATACTCAACAGCCTCTCTTCAACCATAAATTTTGAAATAATTTTGAGATAATGTCTGAGATAAAATTGGGATAATATTAAGTAAAACTTAAACTTAATCCAAAAAATTCAGGCCATAGTTTGAGCCTCTGTTCCTACCATGAAGCAGTCAGGAGGCAAGTGACTAAGTGGCATTTCTAATAGGATTCCTGTCAAAACGCCAGGTTCAGTATCAGTCCAATGACCTTCAGGCCTGACCTCACCTAGTGCACTTGAGCTTACTCCTTCAGTCATTCGTCTGGCAGCTGCCAGTTTTTCAGATTATACTATGTGGCAGCCAAGTGCTCTGCAGAGATTACAGAATGGGCAGTCAGCAACCTGAGATGTCAGTCTACCCTACGATAGTCTCAGCCTGAACAAAGCCATCAGACTTCCCTGGACTTCAATGTCCTTACGTAAAAGATTGAGATCTTCTATATGTTCCCTTTTTCTTTCTTTTTTTTTTTTTTTTTTTTTTTGAGACGGAGTCTTGCTCTGTCGCCAGGCTAGAATGCAGTGGCATGATCTCAGTTAACTGCAACCTCTGACTCCCTGGTTCAAGCGATTCTCCTGCATCAGGCTCCCAAATAGCTGGGATTACAGGCATGCGCCACCATGCCCAGCTAATTTTTGTATTTTCAGTAGTTTTTAGTAGGTTTCACCATGTTGGCCAGGATGGTCTCAATCTCCTGACCTCGTGATCCACCCACCTCAGCCTCCCAAAGTGCTGGGATTACAGGTGTGAGCCACCGCGCCCAGCCTATATTCCCTTTTTCATGGTACTGCTGGACCCATAACCCTTGCCTTTGGCACTCCAAGGCCTTCTGCCATTTTTACCACCTAAACCGGACAGTAGGCGTAAGTCACTCACCATGCCAAATGACTGCCATCAACATCCCCTTAACCCACTCTGACTTGAAAAAGCAACACTTTCATACTGAAAAGAATCATAATAAAGAAAAGTCTAAAAAAATAAATGGCACCCTTAAATAAGTTAGACATTCTAGAATTTCTTCACCTTGTAGGAATTAATCCTTTCTGAGTTAAGTACACTCTGGATAGAGATGGGGTAACGGACAAGTAGAAAATTAATTATGAAGAGAACAAAAGTAAATAAAACAGTATCTTTGTGTGTGTGTATATATATATATATATATATTTCTATTTTAAAGTATATGTACATACACACACATACACACTCACAAGTGAAGGTTAGACGAATATACCCCAAAATGTTAAAAATCTCATCTTTGAATGGTAGTATTATGAATCATTTTTATTTTCTTCCTTGTGTGCATTATTTTCTAGATGTCTAAAATAAGCATGAATTATTCTTGTAATTAGAAAAAAATGTGGAATATACGTGTGCATGCATATAAGAGAAAGAGACCTGAAAAAAAAGAATTCCAAAGAGCACCATGCAGATGGATAGCTGACATTTGACCAAATCCCATATCATCTGACCATTACTTGAGTGATTTTCCTGTTATACAACTTTTTCTCATCTTTAATGAACTACAGTAAAAGACCCATATAGAAAAAGAAAAAGAATACTTTGCCTTTACAATTTATTAGGAATCTTTGAGTAAGAACTGGAAAATGTCACAGAATTATCTGCCTCATTCTAGAAAAATCTCCACCCTAACTAAAATGAATTTGCCTTGAGCATGGGACACAATAACCATTTAAGCTTGAGTTAAGCTGCACCTAAACTCGCCCTACATTTTTAGTTATTGCACATTACAGCCCCTCGGGGATTTGCAGTTTTAATGCAACACTGGAAATCCCAACAACAAATCAAACCAGAAACTGCAAAGCTGATCAACCTTCCTGGAATTGGGTGTTTCCCAAATTTCAACTCCATAACTACAGAATCTCTTTAGTTAACACACCCAGGGGGCCCCTCCACTGTGCCAGGCCCTAAAGGAAGTCCACAGATGCACAGAGAAGAGACAGACCATCCTAAAATGGGGGCCAACATTCCCTCTCTCTCCCCACCCTGTGATAATTTAGTGCTTGCCTGCAGGAACACAGCTACTCCTATAGGCACAGCCAGGGACCTGCTAGTCCTAGGCTGCTGTCCTCGGCATATTCAAATGACACCAATGACACCCAGGAGAAAATTCAGTGCAGGAGGCAGCCAGTGTAGGAGACAGAAGACACAGACAGCCCTGGGTGAATTCCAACTTAGCCACTTACTAGCTGTGTGACTATGAGCTTTAGTTTCCTCATTTATAAAATCTCTTTTGTCACAAGTTATACTGAGAATTCGAGGTAATATAAGTAAAGCATAAAAATACATCTGCTATCCAACAACTCCCACTGCTAATACATAACATTACTGAGCATCTACAATAAGCTCTGGCCTTTTCACACATTGTCCACATTTGCACGTGGAATTGGGATATAGAAGACTATTGTTACGAGAGAGCAAAAGCAACCAACCAATTTCCATCGGGCCACAACCCTGCTTTGGCCTAACCAGCACTTTGTTCTGAACAACCAAGTACACTTAACACTCACAGGTTGGGGAAATAAATCCCATTGTTTCCCTGAAAAGACACAGGCAGGCGGCCTCTTCTGGCATATCTCTAGCATCTTTCCCCCAAATAAACATTCACTCAAATAGAATGGACACTCTTATTTCAGAGTGTTCTATCAAAAATAAACCCATATCAAGCCCAACATCTAATGCAGATCTATTTCTGGGTCACAGATTACCTGTTACAGAGGTCAGAAGGAGGCAAGAGGATTTTCCCTTCAGATCAGGCTCTAATCACATGGAGTCCAACGTTTATACCTCTATCTCTAGTAGTCTGTCAATTGGCAGATTAAAAATATTCCCTGTAAGAAGCCTGAGCAAAGGTTTGTGGCCTGAGTTAACCCAAGTCATTGGGACAACTTTGACCCATATGAGTAGTTTCTGGTCCTCTATTTAGAATAGTACTTCTTGGTATTTATTTTTATTTCAGAGAAGGTGGGGAGTTGCTTTCTGGCTCTGTCACAAACTCTGGACACCATCTAAGTACCTTAGGAAAAAATACTAATAAAAAATCAAAATGCCATGGAAACAGTCTATGAGTCAATTTTTTTTTAAAGAAATCAAGCTATTTCTCAAGAATGTGTCCCTTCTAGAATGATACCCTAATCTCAAAATATGAAAGCATACACTGCATCTTTGTTTAACCTTACAATGAGAACTGGGGAACGAGGGTCAGTGATCCCATCTCAAGTGCCAAAATGGGCCTTGCTTGGTCACTCATGCAGAACATGCTAACCACAGAGCTTGCTAACCACTGTGTCGCCCAAACCACCTTTACCCATGCTACGCCATCTCCTTATTGCTCAGACTCTCCCACAGCCCCCAACCCACCTTCACCCTCCCCTTTCCAGCATTCCCTATCCATCTACACAAAAGAGTGACTCACTCCTGCCCCCTCATTTCACATTTGCCCTTCCCACTCTTACTTGATTCATTCTGCTGCCATCTGATTTGCATTATCTTAATTCTTTGGAATACAGAATTAATTAGTTCATGTAGGATCAAGAAGACCAACTTTTTTTTTTTTTGAGACAGAGTCGCACTCCGTTGCCCAGGCTGGAGCGCAGTGGTGTGATCTCTGCAACCTCCACCTTCCAAGTTCAAGCAATTCTCCCACCTCAGCCTCCAGAGAAGCTGGGATTACAGTTGTGCGCCACCACATGCGACTAGTTTTTGTATTTTTGTAGAGACAAGGTTTCGTCATATTGGCCAGACTGGTCTCAAACTCCTGACCTCAGGTGATCTGCCCACCTCAGCCTCCCAAAGTGCTACGGTTATAGATGTGAGCCACCGCGCCTGGCCCAAGAAGACCAACATTTGAAGAAACCTAAAGGACTAGACTTTTCACCAACATTCTAGAATGCTCCATACCCCAATCCCACAATTCTAAGTGGGCACCAGAAAATGCCCAATTAAACAACCAGAAAATCACATTTGTTTGCATTTCTTTGGTGTACCACTGAAAACGTTAATGATTACAATTCACCAAAAAACAATGGCAATAGTGAGCAAAATCACTGGATAAATCAAGCAGTAAAAGTCACTCAGTAGAAGGAAAAGAACACAGGATGAAGTCTGTTTCCCATCCTAAATAACTACATGGACATCAGTTTTTTTCTGCACTCATCTACTACTTCATCAGAAAAATTTCCTGCACTGTTAAAAGAAAGAAGCAAAAAATATATAATTTAGATTTCACCAAACAAAGGCAATATGGAAACTCAAATATGCAGTGAGTTTTCATTTACTCAACAAACATTTGTGGGCACCTACTGTATTAGACCATGGGTAAACAAAGATGAATCACTTACTGGTTTCTGCCTTTAAAAAACTAATGGCTTAGAGAGAAGCATTCTAACACAAACAAAAATGATAAAAATAAGGACAAGGCGCTAAGGGATTACTTACCCCTGAAGGAAAGAGAAGGCAGGAAGCATCAGGGGAGGTTTCTAGGGAAGGCAATATGTAACTTTAACAGTGAAGGTGTATTATGTCCAGAGTGACTATGAGCAGAGACATAATGGTATAAGACAACACATCATTTTCAAGAACAAGAGGGTGTGGTCTGACTAGGGCATAGGGTGGAATGAGTAATCCTAAGTAAGGAGGCAATGAAACTCAATAGAGCAAGGCAGAAGAATCACTGGAAATCTTATATACGAGTCAAAGGAATTTGGACTTTGTCATTAGACAAAGGATTGTCAAGAAGGCTTTAAGCATATGCTTTGGCTACATACTGTGTTATAAGGACTGTGCTAGTCAATTTATATATGTTACATTCATCTTCATAACATTCCTAGTAGGATTAGATAGAACCATGGTTGAACTTAAAAGACCATTCTCTCATTCCTAATTTTCCAGAGCAGTCTTGACAGATAAACTAAAAGAACATGAATCTGGGAGTAAGGAAATCAGAAGACTGGATTCAGGGCAGTCAGGAGACTGGACGCAACTCCTGAGAGTCCATACTAAGACAACCACAGTCATTACAGAGGGGACAGCACGAAGTCCAAATCCATTTTGGAGGGAGAATTGCTAAGATGACTGCTCCCTGGGAGCAGCAGTCCTTAGTCCTTCAAACAGAAGACCCCTCCCTCTCCCCCAGGGTTACACCACCATCATGGCTGAGAAGAGGCCCTAAGAGCACCTCATGCTATCAGCCACTGAAGGGCAGCTGGTCCCCAAGGAGGCCTTTATACTCCAACTGGCCACTACGTCTTCAGGAGATGACCTAGGCTACAGACACACTAAGAAGGCTTTTGCTCACCCCTGGCCACTAAGCAACAGGAGCTGCCACATGGTACCTACCCAATTTCCCCCAAGACATCACCAGGACTAACCCTAGCATGCTCCACAGCCCTCTTTTCCTCAGTCATCACCAGAAGACCAATCTTCCCCATCTCTCACCTTCCCAGGCCTCCCTCCCTCCCACTCTGCCCTCTGGTACTTAAACTCTATCCCCAGCAAATTCCATTAAATTCTCTTCTCTGAGTGTTCCTTTCACCAAACTAAACCTTGAAAACATAAAGAAAGTAAGATTTAACCTGAATTTCAGATGCTGAACACTAATAACACTATTTTCCCATATCATATAAAGAGAAGCTTGGTTATATTATCACTTTTTTTTTTTCATAGAGATAGGGTCTCACTATGTTGCCCTGGCTGGTATAGAACTCCTGGCCTCAAGTAATCCTCCCATTTGGCCTACCAAAGCACTGAGATTACAGGCCTGAGACACCACACATGGCCCTATATTCTCATACTTAGGTCTAGTTTCAGCCAGTATAAACAAGGATGGCTATGGCAGTTGCTAAAGTATCAAAATACCTCTCAACCAGTTGACAACTAGCTATGATCAAGAGATTAAAGAGTTAACATCTAGCTTCACAAAAGGCCCCCAGAACCCTGCTCCTGATGGAACACCGACATCAGCAGGTTACCATTTCACATGAGTTGTCAAACACTTTGAGTAACGACTCTGTTCATAACCCCAAGATCCCCTAACCTAGAGGTGGATTAAGTGTCTCTCCAGCTCACCTTCCAATTTCTCTTCTATCCTCTTTCAAAAGTCTTACCTGTCTGAAGTTTATGCCATTAGACTTTACCACCCATTATCCCTTCTCGCTGTCATCTACCCAACTACTGCTATTTCCCCTTATTTGCTGATGACCTTCATACCTATTTCCCTTTCCAGACTCATCTGTCTTCATCATTGCAGTTTTCTTTTTTGTTTTGTTTTTTGTTTTTGAGACAGAGTCTCACTCTGTCACCCAGGCTGCAGTGAAGTGGCGTGATCTCAGCTCACTGCAACCTCCACCTCCCGGGTTCAAGCGATTCTCCTGCCTCAGCCTCCCAAGTAGCTGGGATCACAGGCATGTGCCACCATGCCCAGCTAATTTTTGTATCTTTAGTAGAGCCATGGTTTTGCCATGTTAGCCAGGCTGGTCTCAAACTCCTGACCTCAGGTGATCCACCCGCCTCAGCCTCCCGAAGTGCTGGGATTACAGGCCCGGCCATCATTGCTGTTTTCTACAACTACATGAAGGCTCCAATTCCTCAACCACCTCACCTCTGATGACCTTTGTTTGACCCTACCTCATTATCATAACCTCTGATTTGGGCATCCCCACTATTTATATCAACTCCGCAGACTCCAGCCTCAAGCACCCTACACTGTAAACACCACCTTCTCTTTCTTCAGTTTATCTACTGTAGTCTGGAATTTCCATTCCACCATCTTGGCATTATCTGGCCCTTCAGTCCATTGACCCTACTATTTGCTTCACTATCAGTCACTTCTCCTGCTGCCTAGCTGAGAATTAAATTAGGTCCATCACTGTAATTTCTCCCTTCCAAGCACCCTTAACTCCCTTGCTCCTCTCTTCATGCTTCATTTTTACTTGGCAAACCCCCAAACCAGTTAAACCCAACTATCTGCCTGTTTCACATCTCCACCCAAACAGCTGAAGAAACTGCCTGGGAAAAAAAACATGCAACCACAACTGGCCTCAATTTAAATTCATAGCTGCAAATCATTAATGTGCAATCCACACTGACCCACAATCCTATTACATTTCCCCAGGATGTTTCAAAATAGCCATTTGAAATCTCTTTTCCCAAACCTGTTTCACCCCTCCACACCCCAATATCATCACACTTCACTGGGAAAGTAAAGTAGATGCAACTAGGTAAAAATTTCATCTTCCCACCACCCAAATGATGACTTATCCACCTCTGTACTCATTCTCTCTGCAGTCCTTCCTTTTACTAATAAAATGTGCCTGTTTCAAGTAAAGACCAATCATTCTATTTGTACACTAGATCCCCTTCCTTCCTGGCTCTTCAGAAATTTTATTTGTACAATTACCCACCACTCTCTCCTACCTTCATCAGCTCCTCTTCTCTACTTAATCATTTTGTCAGCATAGAAATTCACTGTATTATCCTCTAGTTCTAACAAACCCTCCCTTGACCAATATCCTCTTCCAAGAACTTTTCCACGTCTCTGCTTTCCTTCATAATGAAACTTCTTGAAAGAGTTCTCCCTCTCCCCTCTCCCCTCTCCCCACGGTCTCCCTCTCCCTCTCTTTCCATGGTCTCCCTCTGATGCCGAGCCGAAGCTGGACTGTACTGCTGCCATCTCGGCTCACTGCAACCTCCCTGCCTGATTCTCCTGCCTCAGCCTGCGATTGCAGGTGCGCGCCGCCGCGCCTGACTGGTTTTTGTATTTTTTTGGTGGAGACGGGGTTTTGCTGTGTTGGCCGGGCTGGTCTCCAGCTCCTAACCGCGAGTGATCCGCCAGCCTCGGCCTCCAGAGGTGCCGGGATTGCAGACGGAGTCTGGTTCACTCAGTGCTCAATGGTGCCCAGGCTGGAGTGAGGTGGCGTGATCTCGGCTCGCTACAACCTCCACCTCCCAGCCGCCTGCCTTGGCCTCCCAAAGTGCCAGGAGTGCAGCCTCTGCCCGGCCGCCACCCAGTCTGGGAAGTGAGGAGCGTCTCTGCCTGGCCACCCATCGTCTGGGACGTGAGGAGCCCCTCTGCCTGGCTGCCCAGTCTGGAAAGTGAGGAGCGTCTCTGCCCGGCCGCCATCCCATCTAGGAAGAGAGAAGCATCTCTGCCCGGCCGCCCATCGTCTGAGATGTGGGGAGCGCCTCTGCCCCGCCGCCCCGTCTGGGATGTGAGGAGCGCCTCTGCCCGGCCGCGACCCCGTCTGGGAGGTGAGGAGCGTCTCTGCCCGGCCGCCCCGTCTGAGAAGTGAGGAGACCCTCCGCCCATCTGAGAAGTGAGGAGCCCCTCCGCCTGGCAGCCACCCCGTCTGGGAAGTGAGGAGTGTCTCCGCCCGGCAGCCACCCTGTCTGGGAGGGAGGTGGGGGGGTCAGCCCCCCGCCCGGCCAGCCGCCCCGTCCGGGAGGGAGGTGGGGGGGTCAGCCCCCCGCCCTGCCAGCTGCCCCGTCCGGGAGGTGAGGGGCGCCTCTGCCCAGCCGCCCCTACTGGGAAGTGAGGAGCCCCTCTGCCGGGCCAGCCGCCCTGTCCGGGAAGGAGGTGGGGGGGTCAGACCCCCGCCCGGCCAGCCGCCCCGTCTGGGAGGGAGGTGGGGGGGTCAGCCCCCCCGCTCGGCCAGCCGCCCCTTCCGGGAGGGAGGTGGGGGGGTCAGCCCCCCGCCCGGCCAGCCGCCCCGTCCGGGAGGGAGGTGGGGGGGTCAGCCCCCCGCCCTGCCAGCTGCCCCGTCCGGGAGGTGAGGGGCGCCTCTGCCCAGCCGCCCCTACTGGGAAGTGAGGAGCACCCCCGCCCGGCCAGCCGCCCTGTCCGGAAAGGAGGTGGGGGGGTCAGCCCCCCGCCCTGCCAGCTGCCCCGTCCGGGAGGTGAGGGGCGCCTCTGCCCGGCCACCCCTACTGGGAGGTGAGGAGCCCCTCTGCCCGGCCACCACCCCGTCTGGGAGGTGTGCCCAGCAGCTCATTGAGAACGGGCCATGATGACAATGGCGGTTTTGTGGAATAGAACGGGGGGAAAGGTGGGGAAAAGATTGAGAAATCGGATGGTTGCCGTGTCTGTGTAGAAAGAAGTAGACATGGGAGACTTTTCATTTTGTTCTGTACTAAGAAAAATTCTTCTGCCTTGGGATCCTGTTGATCTGTGACCTTACCCCCAACCCTGTGCTCTCTGAAACATGTGCTGTGTCCACTCAGGGTTAAATGGATTAAGGGCGGTGCAAGATGTGCTTTGTTAAACAGATGCTTGAAGGCAGCATGCTCGTTAAGAGTCATCACCACTCCCTAATCTCAAGTACCCAGGGACACAAACACTGCGGAAGGCCGCAGGGTCCTCTGCCTAGGAAAACCAGAGACCTTTGTTCACTTGTTTATCTGCTGACCTTCCCTCCACTATTGTCCTGTGACCCTGCCAAATCCCCCTCTGCGAGAAACACCCAAGAATGAGCAATAAAAAAAAAAAAAAAAAGAGTTGTCTATAAGAACTGTCTCCACTTCCACAATTTAATCCAATAAACTTTGTCCCAGCCTCTTCTTAAACTATATGTCAAATTGTCAAAATCACAAATGACCTCATTTCACCAAATGTAATCTCTATAATTAACATAGTAGAACCGTCTCTTTTTTAATATCTTTTGAATTCTTAGCCTCAGAGACACCACGCTCTTCTGCTTTCCATCCCATCCCACTGGCAACTCCTCCTTCTCTTCTATATAATAGTTGCTCAATGGCCTGCTTCTCTCTATATACATTCTCTGTAGGTAACTCCATCCAGTATCAAATATAACCTATATGCAAATAATTCCTAAGTCTGTATCCTCAGCCAAACCCCTCTCAGAATCTCCAAACCCCATTCACCCAGTTGTCTGACATCTCCAAAGGAATATCTAATAATCACTTCAAACTTAGCCAAAGCAGAACACTTTATATCTTCCATCAAGTCTGCCTCTCTCCCAGCTCTCCCCTTCTCAGTAAGTGGACCAGCTCTCAAATAGAAAATGCAAGCCTTTCTTTTATTCTTCTTCCTTTCCTCCAAATAATCTAGCAGGCAAGTTCACCCAACTAATTCTATCTCAAAAATATATCCTGAATCTATCCACTTCTTTCTATGCTTTTTTCTCTTTGAGACAGAGTCTCACTCTGTCACCCAGGCTGGAGTGCAGTGGCACAATCTTGGCTCACTGCAACCTCCACCTCCCAGGTTCAAGGCTCCTGCCTCAGCCTCCCTAGTAGCTGGGATTACAGGCATGTGCCACCATGCCCGGCTTTTTTTTTTTTGTATATTTAGTAGAGATGGAGTTTTGCCATATTGGCCAGGCTGGTCTCGAACTCCTGGCCTCATGTGATTCACCCGCCTCAGCCTCCCAAAGTGCTGGGATTACAGGCATAAGCCACCACGCCCAGGCCACTTTTTTCTATCTTTAATACAATGGTTGTCCATTCAATAATAAGTTCTTGGTTGGGCAACCAAAACAGACTAACTAACTCCCACTTCCCATATTCTGTTTACTTGTAGCAGCCAGCATAATCTTTGATGGCATGTATTCTCAATGAGAGCAATATCACCCACAGTTGCTTCTTGGCAGGTGAAAAAATATTGCATATTACAATTGTCTGTGGCCCTCCAAACTTCAACTCTACCCAACAAAATCTTCTTAGCATTTAAGCAGTACTCTCTTGTTGGGGAGAAATTAAGTTTTTAATTAATTAATTTTAATTTAATTTTTCTTCTTGGAAAGGTACAGTGAGAAGAAATTAAGAAAGACTACTTTATAGCAAAACCACACAGTTTCTCTTGCCTGCATATAATCCTCTAATGGTTTCTAGCACCCTAGAATGAAATCTAAACATCTCACCTTGGATTATAAAGACCTATAGGATCCAGCCCTTCACTGCAGTAGGTTAAATAATGACGCCCACAACATATCCTCATCCTAATCCCTGGAACCTGTGAATGTTATAAGGAAAAAAAAAAATTCACCAATGTGATTAAATTAAGACCTTAAGAGGGAAAGGTTATTCTGAATTACCAGGGGGAACCCTAAATGTAATCACTTTACATCTTTGTAAGAAGAAGACAGGGTGATTTGATACAGATGAGAATGCAATGATGTGACCACAGAAGTAGAGACTGGAGTGATGCAGCCACAGCCAAGGAATGCCAGAAGCCACCAGAACCTGAAGGAGTTAAGGACCATATTCACTCCTCAGAAGGGAGCACATCCTGCTAACTCCTTAATTTTGGCACAGTGAAACTGACTTCAGATTTCCGGCATCCTGAATGATGAAAGAATAAATTTCTGTTGTTTTAAGCCACCAAGTTTGTGGTCATTTGTTACAGCAGCCACAGGACACCAATACAGACACCTCTCACTCTTACCCACTAAGTTCCAGATTTATTTGCCTTCTGATGTCTGTCAAATCAGGATTACTATTAGTGTTTTGGGGCCAGCTGCCTCTACCTGGAATGCTCTGCTCCTCAACTTTGCATGGCAAGCTCCTTCCAGTCATTCACGACTCAGCTTAAATGTCAAGTCCTCAGAGAGGCCTTCCCAAATTATTCAAATCCAAAGTATGCATACAACTCTTATCTTCTCATGTCTCTCCTTTATTTAAGCATTATTATTTCTTTGTTCCCCACTAAAACATAATTCTACAAGAACAGAAACTGTGTTTGTTTTGTACACCACTATAATCTTATTTGTAGAAAAATTGCTGACATAGGCCAGGCGCAGTGGCTCACGCCTGTAATCCCATCCCAGCACTTTGGGAGGCCAAGGTGGTGGATCACGAGGTCAGGAGCTCAAGACCAGCCTGACCAAGATGGTGAAACCCCGTCTCTACTAAAAATACAAAACAATTAGCCGGGCATGGTGGCAGGTGCTTGTAATCCCAGCTACTCGGGAGGCTGAGGCAGAGAATTGCTTGTACCTGGGAGGCGGAGGTTGCAATGAGCCGAGATCATGCCACTGCACTCCAGCCTGGGCAACAGAGCAAGAGTCAAAAAAAAAAAAAGGGAAAATTGCTGACACATATTAGGTGATTGATAGACCTAACAAACAAATGGATGGATGATGTAGGCAGTGAGAGAAAAGATGATGGCATTTGTCAATAAGGAAAGGAATAGCATGGGAAAGCAGGAAGAAATTATGGGTCCTGACTCAACTGTGGGACATGCAAGTGGAAATGCCTGAGTTCAGCGAATAAGTCTGCCCAAGAATGTTGACTTGGGATTGACTGAAATCAGGGATATTGATGAACTTGTTGAAAAAGCATCAACAGAGAAAAGAGAGTGAACTAAAGACAGACCCTGGGAATTCCAATATCAAGGCAAAGAACCTGCAGAGAGATCCATAAGGAGTAATCCAAGAGAAGATGTCACAGTAGCCTAGTGAAAACTCAGTTTCACAGAAAAGAGAATGAGCAGAATCATGGAAATTTTAAATAATAAAATCTCATTGATTTGTCAGTCAAGAGGACACTCATAATCATAACAAGAGCAGAGTTGGGCCAGGCTCACACCTGTAATCCCAGCACTTTGGGAGGCTAAGGAGGGAGAATCGCTCAAGCCCAGGAGTTCAAGACCAGCCTGGGCCACATGGCAAGGCTCCATCTCTATAAAAAAAGTAAAAATCAATCAGGTATGATGGCCTGAACCTGGGGTCCCAGCCACTCAGGAGGCTGACGTAGGAGGATCGCTTGAGCCCAGGAGTTCAAGGCTGCCATGAACTATGATTGTGCTACTGCAATCCAGCCTGAGTGACAGGATAAGACCCTGTCTCAGGAAAAAAAAAAAGAGAGAGATTCATCTGAGATCGAAGACAGATTCCAACAGTTGTGGAGGGAATGGAAGGTGAAGAAGTAGAAAAATAATGCACAAAAAGTACTTTAAGGAAGAACAGCTTGAAGGAAAGGAGAAAGAGAGCATGTAGCAAGAGGGCAGAATGGGGCACAGGTGCAATGTTGGTTATTGGTCTTGTTTGTTTTTGTAATGGGAGAATCTTGAGCATTCTTGTAAATATTTGAAATGCATCTCAGCATCTCCAACACAAACAAACAAATAAATACATGCAGGTAAGCATAGAAAAATGTCATAGAATAAGGCATCTGAAGGGAATGGGGGATCCAGAGTACGGGGGAAAGCATCAACTTCGGATAACCACCTCTAAGTCAAGAATTAATGAGGGGTTGATGGATTCAGATATAAAAATGATGTGGAAAGGAGAAAAATTTTAAGATTTGACATGTTATTTCAATTCTCTCAGAATAATAGAAGGCAAGGGCCGGGTGCTGTGGCTCATGTCTGTGATCCCAGCACTTTGGGAGGCCAAGGCAGGCAAATCACAAGTTCGAGACCAGCCTGGCCAACATGGTGAAACCTTGTCTCTACTAAAAATATAAAAATTAGCCAGGCATGGTGGCACGTACCTGTAATCCCAGCTACTCTGGAGGCTGAGGCTTAAACCCAGGAGGCAGAGGTTGCAGTGAGCCAAGATCGTGCCACTGCATTCCAGCCTGGGTGCCAGAGCCAGACTCCATCTTAAAAAAAAAAAAAATGCAAGGACACTGTGAAGGGGACAGCTAAGTCATTATCAAAAATGCATATTCTCTTCTTCCTGGACTTGCAGCTAGACTACATGTGCCAATCTCCCTTTCAGCTAAGTATCACTACACAACAGACTTCCAGCCAATGGTATATGAACAGAACTAATGCATTCATTTCAAGATTATGTGTTTAAGGCCAGGCGCAGTGGCTCACACCTGTAATCCCAGCACTTGGAGAGGTTGAGGCGGGCGGACTGCCTGAGGTCAGGAGTTCGAGACCAGCCTGGTCAACATGGCAAAACCCCATCTCTACTAAAAATACAAATATTAGCCGGGCATGGTGGCACATGCCTATAATCCCAGCTACTTGGGAGGCTGAGGCAGGAGAATCGCTCAAGCCCAGGAGGCAGAGGTTGCAGTGAGCTGAGATCGTCCCACTGCACTCAACCTGGGCAACAGAGCGAGACTCATCTCAAAAAAAATAAGTGTGTGTTTAGAAAGTAGATATGCTTCCTGCCTTTCCCTTTCACCATCCACTGGCTGGCTGTAGTTGAAAAGAAAGCCCTAAGGAATTGCTGAGTCATAAAATGGAAGAATCCAGAGTGCCTGAATCATTGAAAGGAAAGTGATCCACCAACAAAGACCATGATATAAGCAAAAATTAAACTTGTGCTTGAGCTTGTATCTATTTTCAGGCCTTTCAGTTATGATGGTTGAGCCTACCCTAACCACTAACCATCATCTTTTAATAAAGAAATGCCTGGGTGACATAAAAGACTCAAAGAAAATGCTGAAAGTTTGAAAAAAACTACAGCAAGAAATAGAAAAAGGTATTGTGTAGAAAAAGGTAAGATAACTCTCTCATGACTAAGGCTGGAGAACATACATTTTTATACATCTCCAATACACATAATCATTTTCGTTTTCACAATAACCATCAGAAACCCAAGTATAGGAGTAGAAAAGAAGACTGATACCAAGTTGCACATTGCTTCTACATCCATTAAGACTAAGAAAATTTTAACAACTTCGTGGATTCCTACAAGTCAAATCATAAGCAATGTCATTATAGGCATGCTGTGCTATGTATGCAACTATTTAAACAAGTTCAGCATCATTGGTGAAAACTGGTGAACTACAAGGTAAAGTATTAGGAAGTGTAAGTGTTAAATGGCACAGTTCAATGGTTGGGCAGTGGAATACAATGTTGCAAAAGTCAAGAAATACATTACAGAAATAGGAATAGGATTATCTCTCGATTCTATTGTTTTTAAAACAGTTTTTAAGGGAGTTTCTGCCATACCAGAAAATAACCACATGCATGGCTTTAAGTCCCTTAACTTCTCTGTGCCTTTTTGCTCCCTGATATGACAGGGTTCACTGTTGATACATTAAAAAATGTGCACAAAGTACTCAGCACAGTGCCTAGAAAATGGCAACTGCTTAATAAATACTTGTCATTGCTGTTTATTATTAATAAGAAAAAGACCACGTTAGGTTAAATTGCTAAACTCCTTCCTATTTTAAAATTCTGTGAATCTGGCCAGGCACAGGGGCTCATGCCTGTAATCCCAGCACTTCTGAGGCAAAGGCAGGAGGATCACTTGAGGCCAGGAGTTCAAGACCAGCCTGGGCAACATAGTGAGACACTGTCTCTAAGAATTTTTTTTAAATTAGCCAGGCATGGTGGCACACACCTGTCATTCTAGCTACTCAGGAGGTTGAGGAGAAGAATCGCGTGACGTAGGAGTGCAAAGCTGCAGTGAGCTATAAATGTGCCACTGCACTCCTGCCTGGGCAGCAGAGCAAGACTCTGTCTTTAAAAATAATAATAAATAAAATTATGTTAGTGTGTGTGTGTGTGTGTGTATTTGTTTTTGAGACAGTCTTGTTCCGTTGCCCAGGCTGGAGTGCAATGGCGTGGTCTCCGCTCACTGCAACCTCCACCTCCCAGCTTCAAGCAATTCTCATGCCTCAGCCTCCCGAGTAGCTAGGAATACAGGCACCCACCACCACGCCTAGCTTATTTTGGTATTTTTAGTAGAGACAGGGTTTTGCCACGTTGGCCAGGCTGGTCTCAAACTCCTGGCCTCAAGCAATCCACCTGCCTCGGCCTCCCAAAGTGCTGGGATTACAGGCATGAGCCACTGCCCCCTGCGGAATCTATATTTTTTAGATAAGTATCCCAGCTACTTAATGGCGGATGGGGATGGGGAAAAGGGGTTAATACTAGCAAACACAGTGAAAGAAAAAAGTGAAAATATACTTGTTATGATAGGTCCTATGAGCATAATCCTGAAGAGAGATAAAAGGAATGTGGCAGCCTCTAGATGTGAATGCTATACCTGGAGAGGCTGAGAGCAAGGAAACCCCAAACTCCAGGTAATAAAAGGAAAATCTAGGCCAGGGTCCAGAGGCAAACAGAACCCAGTGGCCATGACTGGCTTCCTTTTAGGCAGGACAAGAGAAATAAACATTTCATGCTCTCCATGGACTTCAAATTCATCCAGTCCAGCCACCTTATTTGACAAGGAGAAAAGTGAAAGGTCCAGACAGTGACCAAAGCCACACTTGAGTGGCTATAATGTGGCTGCAGGGATGCTCAGAAGTAGGCACTGCCCACCTTTGACCTAGCCCACATAAATGGTCCCCAATGCGCTGTCCCCATAGAATCCAACGCCTTTGATAAGGGGGACAAGGTAATTTTTGTAAGTCATCTTGTTAGGAATTCATTTTCCAGATTCTTTCTTAAGAGATTGGATTAGGTGGGTAAGTAGGGGGAAGGGAGAAATTGGTGAAGAGAAGGAAGCCCTGGTGTCCTGACAGAGGTGCTGAGTCCTCAGTGGACATTAAGTGGCCTCCTTATTTGTAGATTCCTCCACTGATTTTCTTCAAGGATTCCTTTTATAATGTCACTTCGCCCCTTCCCTCTCCTAAATATCCTTAAGATATTAAACCTCTCAGCACCTTGGGAGGGAAAAAAATTTTGAAATAAAAATAAAAAGATTAAAACTGCCAAATGTGTAGGGAGGGAGATGCCTAAAAAAAGATGAAGCTTAAAGTATCCAGTTGAATAGATTACCTGAAATACACCTGCCTGTGTGGTATCTGGTGTCCAATCACACCCAGCACACTCTTATCACTTATTGCTGAATTGGGGATGACTGAATTATGGGGCAACCATTAATGAACAACTGCTTACTAGGTGTCACCCACATGAAAGGCACTTGGATTAGGCATGTGAGGTCTACAAAATTGTGTAAGATCCAGCATGATCTTCCATAGGAAAGAAAATTATGCATGCTTGCAAATAATTACAGGAGACAAGCATCTATAAGGGAATTATGAGTAGCATAAAAAGAGTAGCTAAAGGGTTTAGAAAATATACAAGACATTTCTGACTGGGGCTGTGAGGGAAAATGTCATAAAACTAGTAGCCAGGGGTCAGGGCACTCAAGGTTTGTTAGGATTTCAAAAAGTGAAATAGAAGGAAGAACATCAGAATAGGGACAACAGTAGGGAATTCCTACTTTTATATTTAGGGAATTCCAATCAGTCCAATATGACTGGATCATAGAGAAGATAAGGACAGCACCTTAATATTAGGGTGAGAATGAAGGAGTCTCTGAATTAATTCCAAGACAAATATTTAGAACGTGATCAAATAGGGCAGAGTAATCCATGGAAGCATGGAGCAGAGAGAGTGACATGATCAAAGCAGTTTGGGCATTACCACAATGAAACAAAACATCCTTTCTTTTTATTATTTTTTATTACTTTTTTATTTTTTTGAGACAGGGTCTTGCTCTGTTGCCCAAGCTGGAGTGCAGTAATGCAATCATGGCTCACTGCAGCCTCGGCCTCCTAGGCTCAAAGGATCCTCCCACCTCAGCCTCCTAAGTAGGAGACACGCACCACCAGACGCAGCTTATTTTTTATTTTTTGTAGAGACAGGGTCTCACATGTTGCCCAGGCTGGTCTCAAACTCCTGGGCTCAAGTGATCCTCCTACCTTGGCCTCCCAAAGTGCTGGGATTACAGGCATGAGCCAACACTTAGCCAATATCCTTTCTTTTATTCAGTTAAAATGAAAAGAAAACAACTTTTGAGAACCTAGTACTCTGAACTGCATTATTTTCATCACTTTTGAAGTACACTTAGAAGCTTATTTTATGTTTTCTTGAAATCTTGACCAAAGTTTTTCCTAATAAGTTTACCCTGAACATAAACTTTTGTTCCACATAAGTATATAGCTATCTAAAGTTTCTACTTGGCCTTGGTGGTCATCAGCAGATACAAGTAGCAAAGCATTCTAAGCATGTCACCCCATTGTCACCAAGTAATACTCAGAGGTTATCTCATTTGACAGTAGCAGCTTCTAGAAATCTCGATTTCAGAAAACAGTCTCTCTGTCATAGCTTGTCAGGTTTGTTTTTCCCACTATATTAAACCCTTTTATAGAAGGATATATGTGCACAATCAAATATGAGATTCCACAGAGGACATACTAGTATTCAAAAAACATAAGGCTTGAAAAATCTAAATCAAACAATCATTGTTCTAAAGTACCCAGACTTTGACAGTATCTCACTGTCAAAAATACAGTACATAAGTAATTCTTTCATTTTGCCTGAATAATTAAAAGATGTACCCAAATAATGTCTTTAAGTTTTGTCAATACATATGTAAAGAAAACTTATTCCTCTAGTCACAATACTTCTGACACCAAATGTATGGGTTTTCCACACCAAGAAACTCTCTGTCTAGGGGCACCAACTAGAATGTTTTACCATTTAACTCAATCTGACACTAACTGCCCAGAGTTTGTGCAGACGCCACAGGGTAAGGGCTCAGTCCCATGAGACTGCCCTCCACTTCAGATGCCAGTCAAAAATAGTGGGCCCCGGGATATCCACACTTCTGTTAGACTTAGCTACAAATCAGGGGTTCCTACAACCCCATCCTCAAATTTGATAATTTGCTATAGTGGCTAACAGAAATTTACTTACTTTTTTATCTTTTTTCTTTTTTTGAGACAAGGTCTTGCTCTGTCACTCAGGCTGGAGCGTAGTGGCACTAACGCAGCTCACTGCAGCCTTGACCTCCTGGCCCCAAGAGATCCTCTCACCTCAGCCTCCAGGGTAGTGAGGACTACAAGCATGGACCACCACACCTGGCTAGTTTTTTCTTTTTTAATTTTTTGTAGAGACAGGGTCTCTCCACGTGGCCCAGGCTGATCTCAAACACCTGAGCTCAAGTTATCCTCCTGTCTTGGCCTCCCAAAGTACTGGGCTTACAGGTGTGAGCCACCACAACAGGCCTACTTACATATAACAGTTTATTACAAAAGGTATTAAAAAAGACACAAATCAACAGCCAGATGAAGAAGTACACAGGGCAAGAAATGGGAGAAGGGGTGTCCTCTCTGGGCATGCCTTCCTTCCAGCACCTCCATGTATTCACCAACTCAGAAGCTTTCCAAAATTTAAGGTTTTTATGAAGGCTCCATGATGTGGGCATGATTGATTAAATTATTGTCCACTGGTGACTGACTGGATTTCCAGCCCCTCTCCTCTCCCCGGAGGTCTGGAGTGAAGCTGAAATTCCAACCCTCTAATTACATAGTTGGTTCCTCTGGCACCAGCTCCCATCTCCATCCTGAAGCTATCTAGGGTTCTACCAAGAGTCACCTGTCATCTCAGCAGTGTAGAAAAAGACACTCATCATTCCAGAGATTCGAAGGGTCTTAAAAGTTCTTTAGTCAGAACTGGGGACAAGTATCTTTCTTACTATATCACAATATGTCACAATACATTTGTACTTGAGAAGGAGAGACATCTATTAACCAATTTTTCCCACTAATTTTGTGAACTAATTGAACCGAAGCTTGACCTAAATAAATCAGAAATCATGTTTTTGCTGCATAAATCAGAAATTTGGTTTTGAAAGAACATAAAATTCTCTACTGAAAAATAGGAAATAAGAGCACCGATATGATATAGAAAGAAATACACAACTCAAAGAACTAGTAAGAGTCTCTAACGAGAGATCAAATCCCAGAACACAAGCCAAAGGGAAAACAAAAACAAACAAACAAACAAACATGGTCACATTCACATCAGGACACAAATTAGAATTCTGGATGCATTCTGACCACAATCATTATCTAAACATCCTCAGGTATTCAAACCATCAACATCTCTTCCTTTCTTTTTCTTAAATGTTCCTGAGATCACTCCCTGGTCATATAGTACAGGAAGAAGTCTATTCTAAAATTGTTAGAGATTTCCTGGCTTGCAGTCACATTGGCCCTTGTCTTTCTCACTTGGAGTTGAGTTTGATCATATCTTCCTCATACATTTCTTTCACGCATCATGTCAACAATTCTAAAACAAAGAAAAGTAAAACACACTTTATTAGTTTCTTCTTCCCCTAACATACCACTTCCAAGTTTTCTTCTTATCTCAAAAGTCTTAAGACATGATGGAATTATTTAAGTATTTTGATGAGCAACTAAAACTTACTTAATAATATCTTCTTAGTTTAGTTCCATTCAGTTCTTCTCTATCTCCCAAGTAACAATTTTGAATTTAGCGGGTTGAGGGGTCTCAACCCTGATGACTAATAATTTTCTCCTTATACTCCAGGTAAAAAATATATAAAATATACCCCATTGTCAAAACTGAATAGAATAACTGGCAGGCCATCTGACACTTTATTTATTTATTTATTTATTTATTTTTTGAGACAGATTCTCCTTCTGTCGCCCAGGCTGGAGTGCAATGGCACAATCTTGACTCACTGCAACCTCTGCCTCCTGGGTTCAAGCAATTCTCCTGCCTCAGCCTTCCTAGTAGCTGGGATTACAGGTGCCCACGATCATGCCCGGCTAATTTTTGTATTTTTAGTAGAGACAGGGTTTTGCCATGTTGGCCAGGCTGGTCTCCAATTCCTGACCTCAGGTGATCCGCCTGCCTAGGCCTCCCAGCCCAAAGTGCTGGGATTACAGGTGTGAGTCACTGTGCCTGCCTGGCTTGTTTTTTTTTTTTTGTTTTTTTTTTTTTTTTTTTTTTTTTTCTGAGACAGTCTCAAGCAATTCTCACGTTTTGGCCTCCTAAGTAGCTGGGACTACAGGCACGTGCCACCATGCCTGGTTAATTTTTGTATTTTTTTGTAAAGATGGGGTTTCCATGTTGTCCAGGCTGGTCTCAAACTCCTGGGCTCAAGCGATCTGCCTGCCTTGGCCTCCCAAAGCAAAGTGCTGGGATTACAGGTGTGATCCACTGCACCTGGCCTATCTGACACATTTTTAAGCAAGTGTGTTAAAGGTGGACAAGAATGAAGAGTTACCATTTTCACGCCAATCCTGAGCTTTAAACTTCACAGACATAGTGACAAGTATTGATTTCTTGCATATGCAGAATTTTACTGAAGATTTCCCATATAATTTTCAACAGAAAGATCATTTTTGAAAGTACAAGATTATGTTGGCTTTTTCATACAATGAAGTACACAATAGCAAACATTCCTAAAACAAAGGTGATCTTTCCAATAGTCTTCAGGACATGTTAAGTCTCTCTGTTACTGAAGTGGCATTCCCTTCACCAGGAAGCTGTCTCCAACTACTTGAGCCAATATTAACCTTTTCCTTCATAATCACATCAGTTCTGGCCAACATCCTACCACTGGAAAAATGATTGTACGAGGTCTTATGTTGGTCTCCAATTGTTTTCCATCTATGTTTTACCTTGTTAAACAACTGTAAGCTTCTCAAAAGAGGTTAACTATTTTTTTATTTAGCACTTATTACACAATATAATGCTGCACAAGAATACAGAAAATTTCATTTAAGAAGACTAGTGTTCATATATTTGATTTCTAGTCCTCTTTCTGAAGTGTTGTTTCTGCACTTAGGATAGCCCCATGAGTCCAGGTGTTGACAAACAGAAAGAATCAAGTTTTGGAAAACCTAAACAGAAACATCATCACATTCAAAAACTAAAACTGAGAAATTAGATACTGATCTGAAAATTGCTTCCCTTCTCTAATAACCATAGCTACCACTAACTCGCCTCTCCTCTCCCCATCCCAACACACTCAACTAACCGAAAAAAATGTACGGATAATTCATGCACAACATGCAAGAATTCTTTGCCCAAATTTTCAAGCTAACTACATTCTTTGCCCATATTTTCCTACTTGAGTATAAGAAGGAAAAATATAGGATGGAAGCTAGTCTTTTGAAGTCTACTACTTGCCAGGTACATTGCTAGCAATTTTACACACGTCATAGCATTTATTATCCATATTTTGCCAATGAGACAATTGAGGCTGAGTTTTAAAAGATGACCTAAGGCCAAAGTCTTTGGCTCCCCGCTCCACAACTACCCTCAGCTGGAGTTTGTTCCACAGTTCAGTCGCTCATTGAGAAAACATTTATTGAGGGTGTATTACAAGCTAGTCACCCCTCTAGGCATTGGAGGTCACTCATTGAGAAAACATTTATTGAGGGTGTATTACAAGCTAGTCACCACTCCAGGCATTAGAGTTTTGAAAGTATGCAAGACAGAACAAGCCCTGCTACTCTCATAGAACTTACACGCTAGAGATGAAAGAAAACAACCAAACAGGATAAGTTCAGAGTTATAATAGTTTGCCAACATGAGTTATGCACAATAATCATCAAATCTTTTAAAATATCTACAATGAGATTAAATAGTTACAAAAAAAACTAAAGGGGGTGGTAACACTCACTAACAATTGGTAACACTGTGGCCCTTTTGTCAATTCCTGAACCAAGCCATTGCATCTTTGAATGAATCACAAGGGAGAAAGAAGGAAGCAGAGCTCTAATGCTGTTTAGAATTTCTTTATAAAATAAAGTGACTCTATAAGCTATGAGAATGGACAGTTGCAATGAATCCATTGTTGGTTCTCAAACCCAAAACCCCATATTTACCCATTTATTCATTAAAATATTGCTGTATTATTTCACGAGTTGATTTGTAAAAGTCAAGGGAGTGTTGTAATTTGACATAACGCCCCTGTGAGAAACAGAGGGGGGTTTCAACATCCACATCACAAGGTTCCCCAGACTGCACACGGTCTCCATTGGGCAATGGCATCCAGATGTCATGTGGTAGCCAGCAAGAACTGTAGGACTGGGACTAGAGTGGTCAGTAGCTACGAAGAAGTGCCTGGGCCCAGTGTGACAGCTGCCAGCACCGTCCACACGCCAAAAAGAAACTTCACATCTCTTTAAACTTGGAACACATGCAAAATACTAACAGTTTTGTTTTAGCAATAAAGACTCCCTGTCACTTACTAACTTCCTTCCCTCACCTATTTATACAAGTATAAGTTGACTAGCTGCTATTTCTATAGCTGCCTCCTATGATATTTATAATGTGTTGTGTGTGATTTGGGTTGCCCATGTCACTAACACTTTGCAAGAATTTGTGTTTGTAAATTACTCTGGAACTCTTCTGGGAGTGAATATTCCACTGCACAAGGTGGAAGCCAGACTAGAGACCATCTGCTAAGAGCAGCACTTCATTCACCCAGCTACACCTTCCTGCCAAAGCACTCTTTGCAAATCTATTTTTGCTGGTAGAAGTTACTACATAGGGAGTGGAGGCTGTTTTAAGTTATCAGTGTGCACCTTCCATTTCCTCCTAGGACGGTCACACGCCAGCAGCTGAGTTTCTCAAAGAAGCCTCAGCCCTCCTCCAGACTCGTTCTCACTCTTGCTTCGGAAGGGAGCAACAATCCTTATCAGACTAGCCGCATCTACAAGCTAAAAGTTTGCATGAACTTTCAATGGGGTACCAACCCTCGCCCCAAAAGTCCTGCCACTTTACTATTTTACAAATGCCGCCTCCAAAACATAAACAACGAAACCCTAGAGAAGAGCGAATCCATCTTCTGCTGGTGGGAAGAAATTCTAAATCTTTCCCGTTTCCCGCCACCACCTACCGCCAAGACTGGAGTCCCAGAACACTCGCCCGGGTCAGAAAGGGACCACTCCCCCCCTAGAATACTAGAGGCGGGGGAAGGGGTCTCCCAGGAAGCACACACCTGAGATAGATCCTCACGCGCGAGGGGCCAGCGGGCAGGAGCACCCAGTTCCTCCAGCCAGGGTGGAGTCGGCCTCCCCCCAGAATCAGAGCCTCGGCCCGGGTGCTCCCAGCGAGGCGCGCGGGGCTGTCACTCGAGGCGGGCTGGGCGGGTGTAACTCGAGCGCCGGGCGGGCCGCGCCCCCGCCTTCCCTCTTCCCGACTTCCTCCTCCCGCTCCCGCGCCTGCTCCCTCCCGGAGGCCTGACCAGGGCGGCGAGGCCGCCACCTCCTGCCCGGATACCTCGGGCCCAGGCTCCTCCGGCCCAGCGGGGAAACGCGGAAGTGGGGGCGGGAACCGGGGCCGGGGTTGGCGGGGGTGTGGGAGGGAAAAGCCAACAGCGGGCGGCGAGCGAGGTGGTCTCCGTGGCCCAATGAACGTGACTAGACGGGGACGCGGGTCCTGCCGCCGGGTGGGGTCGCGCAGCGCCACACGCAAGGGCCCTCGCCCCTGGCTGCAGTTCCTGCTTTGTGCCTCGGCGATGCCGGACTCCAGACCTCCGCCCCGCCTTGCCAGCGGGCTGGCGGACTGGAAAGCCTGAGCTAGGCCAGGCTGGGGAAGACGGTGGCGGTGTCCGATTTCCTGTGCCCTCGCCCATGCGGGCCGCCCTGGCCATCTGCCTGCGGGAGAGGAGACACTCGTCCGCCGGCACGCTGGCGGGGCTGGCTTACCTGACGACTTCTCGTTGTCCGCCCTGGGATCTGGCTTCTCCTACTCTGTACCTCCCGGCCGGCAGGCTTCCCTAGGCCTACAGACGTGTCCAGGAGGCGGGCGACCCTGCGACCCCGCCGTCAGAGCCCAGAACCCTCGCCCGGCTCCCCCGGCGGGCTCTGGAGGCGCGCCAGGCCTCCTGGCTCCCCGCCTGAATGTCAGCGCAGGGACCCGCAGGGAAGACCAAGCCCAAGCTCCAGGGGGTGGAATGCTGAGCACAGGTTCCCCAGACCCAGCCTCATACAGGTGGGGGGAGGCGGAGAGCCCCGGCAGCTGAACAGCAGGCTTCCCACTTGCAACCCCCCGCCACCCAAAAAAAAAAAACGACCCTGCCCACTGAGCATGCCCAGCTTACTTGTTGGAACTCCTAGGGCTAGACAAGCCCAAGGGGACCTAAGGAAGGCAAAGTTGGGGCTCAAATGGACCCCACTTCTTTAACAGCTTTGCTCCGAAGACCTCTGGGTGCTGTACTAATAACCTTTCTATCGTGGTATTGGAAAATATCCAGGAGATGGACGGAAATGCCTTTCCAAAAGAAGGAAGAAAATTAGTGTGAACCAAAAAGCAGTGGTATTTTTTTAAATAAAGTATTAAGTCACTCATTTAATGTCCTTAAATACCGCAGAATTCCTGTAGTTGACCCAGAGGAATGCATATATTTATTAAATCCCAAACTCAGTAACTTCAGGGAACCATCCATAGTCCACAGAGGAGCAATGATTCTCACCCTTGGACACATTAAAATTGGGGGGAGGGGGCAGGGAGGGGTGGAATGCCAGATTTCCATCCCCAAGTCCAATGAGTCAGTCTGGACGTGGGATCTGCAAGTCCTTGTATTTTAAAACTGGCTCTAAAAGTGTAGTCACTGGAGCCCGCAGCATCAGCATCACCTGAGAACTTGACAGAAACTGTACTCCAGTGACCTGATTCATAGACTCTGGGGCTGGGGCTGAGCTACCCAGATTTAACAAGCCCTTTGGGTAGTTCTGATGCACATTAAAGTTTGAGAACCACGGTTTAAAAGCTCCCCCAGTTGAATCATGAGCAACCAGAAAAAGGAAATTGTAGTTGAGAAAAGAAAAATAGTTCAGAGCATTTGAGCAATGTGAGGTATGCAAAATTTATCAGGCCCAGAGAGACCTTGAATATGGGACATAAGTTGCACCCCCCACACTCATGCTCAGAGGCGATTGTTTAAAGGCATTTTGTTCATGACTGACTACCCAACCATATCTTCATGTTCCTGGAATTTGTGATACGAAGAACAATCTATAGACAATTAATAGTTTGTTTTTTTATGTAAATTATTGGTAAACAATTTAGAAACTGCCTCTTCTTTTCCTTTAAAAACTTCCTTGTGGCCGGGCAGGCGCAGTGGGTCACGCCTGTAATCTCAGCACTTTGGGAGGCTGAGGTGGGCAGATCACGAGGTCAAGAGTTCAAGACCAGCCTAACCAACATGGTGAAACCCTATCTCTACTAAAAATACAAAAATTAGCCGGGCATGGTGGCAAACACCTGTAATCCCAGCTACTCAGGAAGCTGAGGCAGGAGAATCACTTGAACCTGGGAGGCAGAGGTTACAGTGAGCTGAGATGGCACCACTGAACTCCACCCTGGGCAACAGAGTGAGACTCCATCTCAAAAAATAAATAAATAAAAACTTGTGACTGGGCAACATCATGAGACTGGTTATATTAAGTATGCCTCAGTTCTTTTTTCTTTAGTTTGACAAATCAAACCAATATTTTTATCATTTTTTTCAAACCCTCATCATTTATCTAGAAATGCAACATGTTACCCAGAAAAGGAATAATCTGGTTGAGTTGGGTGCCAGTCCTGGATTTCCTTCTCACTGATTATCCCAGATCAGTTCAGTGCTTGGGAAATGGGACCATCAGTTACTCACTTTTGTACTCTAGTGCCTAGCATAGTGCCTGAATATAACTGATGTTTAAATGTTTCTTGATTTGAAATGAATGCTTAGGTGAGCGATCTGGTCCAATCCATACTATGTCAGCTGATTATTTTCCCCACTAGTCCTAGTCACACTGCTAGCTAGTGTAACCGCCCAAGGGGTTCACCTTGCCCGCTGCCTAGACAGAGTCGATTGATCAAGACAAGGGAATTGCAAGAGTAATTCACGCAAAGCCAGCTGTGCGGGAGACCAGAGTTTTATTATTACTCAAATCAGACTCCGGAGCATTCGTGGAGCGGATTTTTTAAGGACAACTTGGTGGGTTGGGGGAAGCCAGTGAGCCAGGAGTGCTGATTGCTCAGGGATGAAATCATAGGGAGTTGGAGCTGTCTTCTTGCACTAAGTCAGTTCCTGGGTGGAGGGCCACAAGGTCAGAGGAGTCAGTTTATTGATCTAGGTGGTACCAGCTGATCCGTCAAGTGCAGGGTCTGCAAAATATCTCAAGCACTGATCTTAGAAGCAGTTTAGGGAGCGTCAGAATGACTCCTTAACCATAGTTTCTAATCTTTTGTGGCTGTTAGTCCTACAAAGGCAATCTAGTCCCCAGGCAAGAGGGAGGTCTGCTTTGGGAATGGGCTGTTACCACCTTTGTTAAAACTATAAACTGTAAACTAAGTTTTTCCCAAAGTTAGTTCAGCCTACGCCCAGGAATGAACAAGGACAGCTTGTAGGTTAGAAACAAGTTGCAGTCGGTTAAGTTAGATCTCTTTCACTGTCTAGGTCATAATTTTGCAAAGGTGGTTTCACTAACCACCTTTTCCTGAGAAAAGTCAGGAGCACTGGACGTGATTCCTCTTGCCAAATTTGGGGCCCAGAACAACCAAAGGACAGCAGAAAGATGTTGGCATCTGGTGGGATTCAGGAAGGACACAGAAGGAAAAAGGTGTGCATGAGAGTGGGGTCAATTGGCACAGACAAGGAAAGAAGCTTCACCTGATCAGCATACAATTTACTCTGAATCTTCTTTTTCAAGACCGTGCACCTCTGCTCTATAGTTCCCACTCTCCCACTCTTCACACACACATCTAATCTCAACTATTGACTTGAATAAAATAAATAGGAAACTGTTGTATAGTAGATAATTTTCTCCAATAAAACATTGCTGACTTGCAATTAGAGCATAAGTTATTTAGAGCATATTTTCAAAGTTGTTAATTCTTAAAAATGCACAGCCCTAAAAAAGAACAAAATCACTTTGTAGCAACATGGATGCAGCTGCAGCATATGGATGCAGCTGCAGGCCGTTATCCTAAGCAAATTAATGTAGGAACGGAAAACCAAGTATCACATGTTCTCACTTGTAAGTGTGAGCTAAATCATGGTTTCACTCAGACATAAAGATGGGAATAGGCACTGGGGAATCCAAAAGGAGGGAGGGGGACAGGGGCTGAAAAACTTCCAATTTGGTACTATGTTCAGTATGTGGGTGATGGAATCAATAGAAGTCCAAACCTCAGCACCACACAATCTACCCTTGAAACAAACCTACACATGTAGCCCCTGAATCTAAAATAAAAATGGAAATTAAAAAATTTTTAATGAATATTAATTTCAAAATGTAGAGGTTTATGATCATTCTTTTAAGATTTTACAGATACTGGCCGGGCACGTTGGCTCATGCCTGTAATCCCAGCACTTTGGGAGGCCAAGGCAGGAGGATCACCTGAGGTCAGGAGTTCAAGAGCAGCCTGACCAACATGGTGGAACCTTGTCTCTAGTAAAAAATACAAAAATTAGCCAGGTCTGGTGGCACACGCCTGTAGTCCCAGCTACTCGGGAGGCTGAGGTAGGAGAATTGCTTGAACCCGGGAGGCAGAGGTTGCAGTGAGCTGAGATTGCGCCATTGCACTCCAGCCTGGGCAACAGGGCGAGACTCTATCTCAAAAAAAAAAAAAAAAAAAGATTTCACAGACACGCAGACACGTATAAAATAAAACACTATGCCCTATTTATTCCATGAATCTTTTCTAAAGAGAATAAAATATAATAACAAATTTTTCTTTCTAGCCTAATACATAACACTTTAAAGCCTTTTTTGACAATTCTTTTTATGAGTATCTAAGTAGCTTTCTGCCTCCCTATCTCTAGCCCTGTGTCTTGCTCCTAATATAACAAGAATTCCACTGAAAGGGTTTGGTTGCTGATTAGAGTATGTAACAGGAACACAATTTCCTATATGCCTAAGCACTTTCTTTTCATTATTAAGATACTTTCATGGAGAAGTGGGAGATAATCATTAATTTAGGAATTGCTCTCAGTAATTACTATGCCAGCTCCACAGACAATATTGAAAAAAAAAAGCAAAAAACAAAAACCTTCCCTTCTCAACAAACACTTGCTACTGCTTCTTTTTTGCTTATAGTATTAAAACCAAATCAAACAAATAAAGAGGTTTAAAACTAAAAGTGTAGGAAGACTAAGTGGGGTTATGAGAAAGGAAACAATGACCATAACCAAATTTTAAAACATGAAGTAATTATTTCAGCAGAAGGCAATCTAGTGAAGACCAAGACCTCAGGGAAGTGAGAGTCTTAAGTGTTTCTCTTCTTCCCCATAAGAATGACTCAGCATTTGGAATGAAACTATGTTTACTGTCTTTCAGATTTCTGGTGTCAAATAACTTTGGTGCCACCTAACTCCTTTCTCCTGTGCCTAAGAAAACTCAAGGACAGTCATGGGTTTTCATCCTCATATGGCCACAAAAATCTGAAAAGCTTTCCCTTTTTCACCCATACCTGTCTTACAGAAGCCTAAGTTGGTCCACCATTCATTTATCTTGTTTTTGTTGTGTTGTCAGACGAATTTAGGTTGTCACCTATATCCTGGTGTAACAAAATGAGCAAGAAGTTTTTTCCTTCCCAAACTTGGAGAGTAGGCTACCTGCTACTAAGACATCTTAAACGCAGCTTCTGGGATTGACCTTTTCCCACCATGTGGGTACTTTCCAGTGATGAGTCTACCATGTACTTTTAATGATCACCACATGTCTAGAGCCAACTATTTTAGTCCTTGCCCATTTCTAGAGAAAAACAAATTTTTCCCATAGCCAGGTAAGTGTTCATTGGTTACCAAAGCTCAAAGTAAAATGTATGGAATACTAGAACTGAACTGGGCTGTAAATGTTAACCCCACACTTTCATTTTCTAAGAAACAAAACCAAAGCTCAGCAGTATTACAACATTAGCTAAACATGGAGCCAAGACTAAAATGAGAAACTGCTTGGTATAGAGAACACTGTGTGAGCTCAAGTCATCTCTTGTAAGTTCTTCAACCATGGTCTGGTTCTCTAGCTTTCCAGAACCTCGGTATCCTTATCAGTGAAGGATGTTAATATCAAACATTCATATGGTGTTTACTTTATCTCAGGCACTAGTCTTAACAAGGTGATGTAATCCTTAATCCTCAGCATAACTATGTAAGTATTTTGTTTTTCTGTTTTTTTTTCTTTTGTTTCATTCCACCAAATGGGGAAATTAAGGTACAAACCTATTAAGTAATATGCTGAAGACACCACACCTAGCAGATGGCCAAACTGGGATTGAGTGGGATAATATTTGTAAAATGCCTGGTATATAAGTTGTCAATAGAACTATTACCAATGTCAGTTTTCCTCCCTAGATCACAAGCATATCCTGCCAAAACACTTTGTTCTGAGCTTTGTATGTTCACATATTTTTTTCATTATATTCTTTAATTTGGGTACAGTTTAGGTAGTTTACATGAATTAGAAAGTTATGTTATATATGCATCTAACATAATCGTATCCATTGTTAACAATAGTTGCAAACACTAAGAAGTTAACCAAAAATTAAAGACTACAAGTTTACTACTTACCAATAAACAAAACTAATATAGAGTATCTAAAAGATTAACAGTGCTGTCCAAGAAAATCTTAAATCCTTGAGCAGGATCAGACCAATCACTTTGGGATCTTAAGATAAGAACAGCTCATTTGGTAGATCTCCACCTACTTGATACACGAATTCTTAACAGCAGAGTTATAGACATCTAAAAATATCCAACAGAAAATCTTTCCATGTCAGTGATTCTGAAAGAGTTAGAATCAAGAATGAAGTGAAAATATATGATCCTTGAAAAGATGAAATAAAAATACTAAATATATTTTTAAATGGGTACTTTAAGTTTTATTTCTGCTTTATAAGAACTGGGAATGTATTCTTAAAATAAATGTCTAAAGCATCAATATAAAGTGGCACCAAGAAACTTACTTAGATTTAAAGGCCTGAGGGTAAAGGAAATGTGTATTCCTTCCCTAAACAGGAATCCACTTTGTCCCTGGGACAGGGTAGCACTGAAAACTAGCTTTTATAAATTTTCATAATGTAAACTCAATAATGTTGTCTCTGGAACATAGCCACCTATTTAATAACAGCAGGAAAGTGTGGGTAAGCAGAAATGTCCCAAGAAACTCTTGCAGAGAACATGAATAAGTATTAAGTTCTGTTGTGGGAGCTGAAACAAAATAGAGAATTCAGCTTTTCAGAGTAAAGCTTAGTTATCATCCTAGTGAAAGAGGTAACTGAACCAATGGTAAATAACCCAAGAAACTGGAGATTTGTTCAGTCCCACATCTGAATACATTTTATATAACCTGGAAATGGTTTAAATCTCAGCAGTAAATGCTTAAAATAAACTTGACCACTGTTTATAATGTTATAACATGATTTTAAAAAAAGAAAATGAATGAATTTGAATAGCAAAAACAGCATAACAATAGCAACAGACAGGATTTATGTCTGTACATGATTAGCTTTAAAGTGAGGATGTTGTATCTTAGCCTTCAAACATGTAGGCATTGACCTAATTTCTGCTAAGCCAAGAGGAAAGTTTTTTACACGCACAGAGCATAGGCCAGAGGGTAACAGGTGCTGTTCCTTGGCCTGAAAAGCAAATCTCCTTCATTCCTCCTCTATCAGCAAAATCATCATATAAAGCCTGAAAAATGGAAGACAGGAAAGCAGAGAATCTTTGTTCTGTTATCCTTCAGTTACAAATTAAAGTTCATTTTTGAAAGAGCTCTTTAGGGAGGCGTAAAGTAGAAGGAGAGAATGGTTAAATGTAACATCCATCAAGGAGAAATTTTACAATTTAATGGGAAGTGTATTATTTAAAAATTCTCTAGGCCACGCTGTAAATAAATAATCCTGTTCCCTTCCTGCCTAACTGCTAGCCAAGCTTCTGAGAATGAAACAACTTGACATATGAGAAATAGCTAGAAACTGGTGTCAGGGCATCTAGAAACTTTTTTATTCTAGTAAATCTAGAGTAATGTGTATTCTAAAAAATATCTTTCAATAGTCAAATGTGGTACAAGCCAATTTTTATTGTGTTCTTCACTGTCAACCTGGTCCTCTTATAGTATTGAAATACAGCAAAAGTCCTGCCCTCACAAAGGTGGCCTTCCTAAAGTGGGTCTCAGAATGCTGGAGGTTGAAATTCTAGTTTTTTCACCATGAGGCCCACCCTGGACATAGGGTATCCTTTCACTTTACATAGGGTGTCCTTTTGGGTCCTGCTGTTGCAGTAGGTAGAAAGCAAAGTCTGCAGCCTAATGAGAGCTAAAGCAAAGACTGAGAAGCTACACTATGGTAGACTGAATAATGGCCTCCCCAAAGTTATTCACATTCTGATCCCTGGAACCTGTCAATTTTACCTTATTGGGCCCAGCAGTGGGGAGAAGTGGGGGAGTTGGAGATGTGATTAAGTATCCTGAAATGGAGAGATTACCCTGAATTATGGGTGTGGGCCCTAAATGCAATCATACTTATCCTTAAAAGAGAAAAGTAATAGGAAGATTGTATGCACACAGCAGAATAGAAGACAGAGTGACCATGAATACAGAGATTGGAGTAATGCAGACACAAGCCAAGAAAGGTCTGCAGCCACCAGAAACTGGAAGAAACACAGAATGGATTCTCCCTAGAGTCTCCAGAAGGAGTGCAGCCCTGCTGACCCCTTGATTTCAGCCTAGTGATGTTGATTTTCAACTTCTGGCCTCCAGAACTGTCAACCAATAAATTTTCATTGCTGTAACAACCAAGTTTGTGGCAATTTGTTATAACAGCAATAGGAAACTAATACAGCTTTCTCCATTTATTTCCCTTTGGCACTAATGCCAATCTATCTTTCTAGAGCTAGATCTTCAGTACATCATTGACATTTGTAGGATGTCTTTAATTCAGAATGCCAAAGCAATTTACAACCATGTAAATGGGCTCAATTTTGTATCCTGTGGGACATTCAAGCAATACCAAAGCCTTGTAAAATTTGAGAGATGCCTGGACCATTTTATTTTGTACTTTTTGAGATTCCTAACTAATAAATACTAAAACAAGTTTGAAAAAAATTACAGTATAATTTGAGTGTTTACAATTAGTCAACTAATTCTTAGCAAAAGAATACTTCAGTAACTATTTCCACAGCCTCATTTAGAGATAAGAGCAGAATTTTAAATGTGGGGTCCGAGGCAGACAGATGGCTATACCACTCAGTTCCTCTTTCAAGCAGAACTTATTTCTCCAGCTCCTGGAAGCATCTTCAGTAAGTGGCTTTCAGCAGCCAGCTCCTTCAGAATTTGTCTGGACTGCTGAAAGCTGCCTCAGTCAAGGCCATTCCTTTGCTGAGTTAGTTGTTGTCCTGTGACTGAATGAGGCTGGGGTATAGAGACTCAGCCAGATAATTGGAAAATAACTCTGATGGGCCATATATGCTCTAGAACTCCCTCAGGGGTTGATTGAGATTGCATCACAATCCAATTTCTCCCTCTGCCCAACTCTGCTTCTGCCCTCTTCCTTTCAGAAGTATTAATCCTAATAAATCACCTGCATGTCATATTCCATCTCAGTATCTGCTCTGGAAAGCCCAATCTGCATCAGGCCCTTCATAACAAAAACCCTTGACTGCCACAGAATCTTAAATTTATTCTTCCTCTTTTTTTTTTAAATTTCTCCACTGGGATTGTACCTTTCTTTCCAGTTCAAAGAAAAAAACCATTCCCTAGAGCTGGCAGCCTCTCCAGTTTGTTCTCTCTATATAAGGACAAAAGGCTTCTCTGAGCTACATGTAGTTCAGGAATATGGGTTGCAAAATCTTCCGCACATCCTAGTTCCTTCCAGGTGTTTCTAATTTAGATGTTTCTAACAACAGTCTTTCAATGGGTATTTGTTGAGCACCACTTGTGTATCAGGCAATATTCTATTGTTCTAGGGATACAGGAGTGATGGTTAGGCTTTGTGTCCCTACCCAAATCTCATTTTGAATTATAATTCCCATGTGTTAAGGGAGAAACCAGGTGAAGGTAATTGAATCATGCAGGCAGTTTCCCCCATGCTGTTCTCACCACAGTGAGTGAGCTCTCATGAGATCTGATGGTTTTATAAAGGACTCTTACCCCTTTGCTGGGCACTTCTTCCTGCTGCCTTGTGAAGAAGGTGTCTTGCTTCCCCTTCACCTTCTGCCGTGATTGTAAGTTTTCTGCCGCCTCCCTGGCCATGCTGAACAGTGAGTCAATTAAACCTCTTTCCTTTATAAAGTACCCAGACTTGGCCGGGCGTGGTGGCTCACGCCTGTAATCCCAGCACTTTGGGAGGCCAAGGCGGGCGGATCACGAGGTCAGGAGATCGAGACTATCCCGGCTAAAACGGTGAAACCCCGTCTCTACTAAAAATACAAAAAATTAGCCTGGCGTGGTGGTGGGCGCCTGTAGTCCCAGCTACTCGGGGAGGCTAAGGCAGGAGAATGGCGTGAACCGGGGAGGCGGAGCTTGCAGTGAGCCGAGATGGCGCCACTGCACTCCAGCCTGGGCAACAGAGTGAAACTGTGTCTCAAAAAAAAAAAAAAAAAGTACCCAGACTCCGGCAGTTCTTTACACTAGTATGAAAACGAACTAATACAAGGAGTATATGCTTTTATCACACACCCGGACTGTAGTATGTGATATATGTTCGGTCAGATTTCACATATGCCTCCCAGGCAAGGTAAAGTGAGTTCATTAGGCTATTGTAAAACAAATAAGGAGTGGTGGGGTCTGTGGCAAATTGGAGAAAGCATGCCACATCCACAGGGGTTGGCTCTCGACCTTAACCTTGTATCAAACTTTTTGTGACCAGCTAGGAAAACCAGAAATTACCCACCTCTTTATGCGATGTAATATAAAGTCTGCACCATCACTTCTAGATGATTTTTGCCCCAAATACTTAACCTGAGTTAATTAACCCATTAGGTATAAATTATAGTCAACAAGACAACTGATTCCTCTTCAACAACACTGTCACAGAAGAAAAGAAAAGGGAGAGAGGGTCTGATCTGGGGTAAAACTGACTTAAGTGACATAATCAAATACAAAGCATGTGTTTTAATTGAATAACGGCTTGAAAAGAAGATAAATGCAGGTCAGGCATGGTGGCTCATTCCTGTAACCCCAGTACTTTGGGAGATCAAAGCAAGAAGATCCTGAGCAACATAGTGAAACTCTGTCTCTACAAAAAGTAAAATAAAAAAATTAGCCAGTTCTGGTGGTATGCACCTGTAATCCCAGCTCTGCAGGAGGCTGAGGCTGGAGGATCACTTGAGCCCAGGAGTGTTTGAGGTTACAGTGAGGCAGGATTACACCACTGCACTCCAGACTGAGTGACGGGCAAGAGCCTATCTCCAGAAAAACAAAAACAAAAAAAAAAATAAAATGAATATAAATGACATTTTAGGAAGAATGGGGAAATTTGAATATGAACTGAGGAAACATGGCATTAGGAAATTACAGTTTTTTTTCAGTGTGTTAATATTGGCGTTATGTAGGAAACTATTCTTAATAAATATGGCAATGTATTAAGTTATTGAATTTAGAGGTAGATGAATAGATATTTTTCTTTCTAATTTACAATAAGCTTTAAGATGTTCATAATCAAAATTTTTAGCATAAATAAAAGTGGTAACTTCTACAAAGCTTTTGTCCATTGTTGTCATGGGGGAATTAAGCCCAGTGTTACTAAATATTCTGAATTTTCAAAATAAACTGGAAATCTGAGATTTTTGTGTAAGATACTTTTTTGACTTTAAGAAATTATTAGCAGTCAAACCTTAAAAAGGCAATAAAACAAGAACAAAAAACTGCAGGTTTGATATAATGCATTTGGATGCTAGAGCTCACATCTAGTCTTCAAATTTACCATCTCTGATCTAAGTCCTTTCATTTTAATCTGTTTCCTTAGCTCTCTGACCCTTTATCCTTGATTTTCTTCTTCCTTTCTCTCTTTTCCTGACTGGCCTCTACCACTTTACTGTGTCCTTGAGCAGTTGCAGGATAATATGAGAAGTAACCAAGCTATGGATTTGTCTGGAGTATCAGATGATTTAACAAACTGAGAATTGTTTAATAATTATCCTAGAACACTAAACATTATCCTGATGATCTAAAATAGTTATTAAACCTCCTCACTTAAGATTATTAAATTGCAACATCTGTCTTCAGGAAACATTACTATTGCATGTAATATTTGCAAAACATTTACAACTGCTTTTAGTTATATCTCATATTCTATGATAGGTTTATAGTGTTTTTTTTTTTTCCTTATTTAATGGCTGGAAAGTCCTGAAGGTAACCTGAGTCCTTCATATGAGAAGGTATTAGACATAGGCGAGCTTCCTGGATGATGGGCTGCTGCTTATCCAACTGCGCCACGTTCTCTCCAGCCCTTGTTTGCTTTATTAGCTAATTACCAAACTGCATATTCAACCCAGGTTCCAACTATATTAAGGGCTATTTACTGGCTAAAATCAATACCCTTTCGATTAGCCACCTGGCGTGGCTTTTGGTAACTAAGCATTATTTGGGCTTCACTGCTTTTACTCCACTGGGGAGATAGGAAAGCGCTTTGTTTTGAGTTTTTACACTTACTGGCTACTGCTCTTAGCGGTAGGAGATAAAGGGCAGTGGAGATCGGCTCTGCCTTGGAGGAACCTGGGAACAAACACAAAATATTTTACTGCAACAACAAGGAATGGGGCAAAGAAAAATGGAATGACAAACACTGATTTTACTGTTTTAAGATTCTTTTTCAATTAAATAAATCTTTTTGGATATATATCTGATGCTCCAGGCATTGTATTAGCCCTAAAAATACAAAGATAAATAAAATATATTCTGTAACTTAGCCAAGTTGGAAAGAACGGCATTGAAACAATAATTACCATAAGAGAGTAAAAAGAGCAGAAAATAGATGTGGAACAGTGTTTTGAGATAGCATGGCAAGAAAATGATTCATTCTTTCCAAAAAGAAAAATCCCATAAATGCCTTTTTGTCAGTGGTGGTGAAACTAACCAAAAATGCTCTTTTTAATGTAGGTATTTTATTACAGAAAGAACTCATGCTCATTTTGGAAACATGAAAATATATATACAAAAGAGGAAAAAAGAAACCCAGCCCCTATAATCTGACTACTTGTGTCACAATTAACCAGTGTTATTACTTTTAATGGCAAAAACTGCAATTACTTTTGCACCAACCTAATAACTTGCTATAGACATTTTATGTACATCTTATAAAAATAATAGAAAACAAAAATATGTGAAAACATGGGCTTTGAATCAGATCATTCAAAACCAAATCTTGTCACTTACTACCTTTATGACCTTAGGCAATCTGCCTAATCTCTCTGAGCATCAGTCTCCTCATCTATAATATATGGGTAATGGGACCTACCTCCATGGATTACTGTAAAGATAAATTACAAGATAAAAGTACAGTTCTTAGAACAATCCCTGGGGCATATAAAGCAATCAATATTCACCTAACAAATATTTATTCATTCACCTAACAAATATTTATTGAGCTCTCCATTCTAAGCACTTAGACCACATCAGTGAACTAAATATGGTATTTATTTATTTTTAATATTAGAATTATTATCAATATAATGTCCTGTAAATCCTCTTTCAACAAAATATTGAGAACATCATTCAGTGACAAGAAATGTGAATCTATATCTTTGTTTTTACTGCCTGCATAGTTTTTTTTTGTTTGTTTGTTTTTGTTTTTTTTTTCTGAGTCTCACTCTGTTGCACAGGCTGGAGTGCAGTGGCGCAATCTCTGCTCACTGCAAGGTCCGCCTCCTGAGTTCAAGTGGGATTCTCCTGCCTCAGCCTCCCAAGTAGCTGGGACTACAGGTGCCTGCCACCATGCCCCGCTAATTTTTTGTATTTTTAGTAGAGATGAGGTTTCACCGTGTTAGCCATGATGGTCTCGATCTCCTGACCTCATGATCCACCCACCTCAGCCTCCAAAAGTGCTGGGATTACAGGAGTGAGCCACTGTGCCCAGCCTGCCTGCATAGTATTTTAATGGAAAGGTATATGCTGATTTATTCTGCTTACTGCCTATTCAACAACCTACAAAGACAGTTTCCAATCTGTATTATAGATAACATTACTTTGAATATCTTTGTTTCCTTGTCCAGTTGATTCTTTTTTAACATCAGATGGGTAATGTGCCAACATCATGACAAGATTTGAGGAGAGGGGCATCACATACAAGAGCATAAAAACCCAATCATCACACTTATGAACTATAAAAAGACAACTTGTCAAATTGATTCTTAAGGATATATCCTTTAAGTGAAATTAAGTCAAAGTTGATGAACATTTTAAATACTTTTCTCACTCTGTCATCCTGGTTAGAGTGCAGTGGACCAATAATAGTTAACTATAAACTCAAACTCCTGTACTCAAGCAATCCTCCCACCTCCGCCTCCCAAGTAGCTGGGACCACAGGTATGCACCACCATGCCTAGCTAATTTTTTATTGCTGTTGTAGAGATGGGTTCTCACTATGTTGCCCAGGCTGGTCTTGAACTCCTGGGCTTAAGCCTTCCTCCCTCTTCAGCCTACCAAAGTGCTGGGATTACAGGCATGAGCCCCTGCACCTGACTTAAATACTTTTTAACACTTTTTAGCATTCTTAAGGAAAATCAGAAGGGGATACCAGAGCTGGGTATTGAAGGATAAGCAGAAGAGAAGCAGAAAGAAAAGTGAGGGGAAAACATCAACAGGAAGAAGTTCATTGCCTTCAAGTTGATCTTACATCATACTCTAAGGCAAGACATATTTTGGGTTAGTAGATTATAAAGATGAGTAGTTTCAAAAGAGAACTTTAGGGATAATCTAAGATAAAAGATTGAAGGATAAGAGTTGGGAATTTTTTTTTTCATTCAACTCTTTAGCAGACTGTAAAGAGCTGGAGCACCTAAAATGTTAACACGCACATTTTCATGATCCACATACCAGACAGAATTTTCAAGTAAGCCAAACAACTATTACCTTTTATCCTACTCTTCTAATATCTACTCAACCTCTTTCTGCCCCCAGGAAAAGTACAGAACTGCAGGCTACTTATGCAAAGTTGTCATTGTTTTTAATTTAGTGTATGGAAAAATAACATGCAATGATTATATAAAAACTTATTCCTAGGAGTAAAGGGTACGTACACAGATTTCAACTCTGTAAAAACAGTTTGGGGACAGAGGATCTGCATTCTAATGAGCACCTCAGCTAATTCAGATGTAGGTAGTCCTCAGACTACACCATATTGAACAACCTATTCTAGATCTTTGCTACTCAAAGGGTGGTTCCTGTATTAGTGATAAAAGCTTCACCTGGGAACTTACTTGAAATGTAGAATCTCAGACCTTACCACAGACCTACTATATAGAATCTGCAGTTTAAGAAGTTTCCTGGTGATTTGCATGCACATTAATTGTGAATAAACTCTATTCTGTAGGCTGTCAATAAAGAATCTGTGAGTAGATTCAACAAGGTAAAAACATTCCATGAAAAATACAGGTCCCATCCATTTGTTTTTTGGAGCATTATTTGGGCTTCACTGCTTTTATAGTGAATATGCAGCAAGGAGCCTTGTATCTCAAATTCTTTCTAGCATCCTGTGGCATATAAAACTCATTCACTAACATTCCAGGAGATGTAATGAGAAAAAAATGAGATCTAAATGATGTCTTAGAAGTTCTCTAGGTATCTCCTTCTTATATATCAATTTCTATTTTCAATGTGTAAATGACTTTATAGGAGGTTGCAGCAAAAAAGATTTAAACAGCTCAAAGTATGATCAATAGATGCTAAATGAAATGAAATTAGTTTTGTTTTTATATCATGTTAGTTTCTATTGACCAACCTTTTAAACTGTAAAATTATGCAGCTGAAACTAAAATAGGAGAAATTATGGCACTTTATTTAACATTATCTAGTTGATATTTTAAGAGATGCAAAATAGGTAGAAATACAACTGATGGGCCATGAGCGGTGACTTATGCCTGTAATCCCGGCACTTTGGGAGGTCAAGGCGAGCTGATCATGAGGTCAGGAGATTGAGACCATCCTGGCTAACAGAGTGAAACCCTGTCTCTACTAAAAATACAAAAAATTAGCCAGGCCTGGTGGCACACACCTGTAGTCCCAGCCACTAGGGAGGCTGAGGCAGGAGAATTGCTTGAACCCAGGAGGCAGAGGTTGCAGTGAGCCGAGATCACGCCACTGCATTCCACAGAGTGAGACTCTGCCTCAAAAAGAAAAAAAAAGGAAAGAAATAAATCTGATAGAGATATGTATTTCATTGTATTAGTCTCTTAAAAGAATCTGACTAGAGATAACCACCTTGCAATAAAATCTGAGCAATTGTTAGGATGCCAAATATTTCATTAAGTAGTTAAATAATTTTTTCAGATAGGTATAGTAGGATTTGGAATAAACCCAAAGGGAAAAATACATTTTGGACCAAGTGACATTTGTGTATTCTACAATTTTCTGTATTCCAAATATACTTAGAGAGCTAAGTTTCAAAGTTTGTTAGACCTTAAAAATGCTGTGTAACTTTAGTCAGCATCACCTTTCATGTTAAATAAGACAATGGTTTTGGTTAAGAAAAACAGGATTAGCCATAGAGCACTTACAAGTTTTTGATTGGTACCTAAAATTATATGTTTTGATAATCACTTCACTATAAAAACACTTAGGTGAAAATTTAAGGAGATGGTAGAAGACCAATCTCCTCTACTTGTAAATGCAAACTCAACCACATTCTGTCTCTTCAATCTTGTTCTTGTTGATGATAAGGAGGATGATGATTATGAAAGAAAACAAAAGAGGCTAAGAAAAGAAGAAAACCAGAAGAGAAAATATGGGAAGTGGAAGAGATCCCAATGAGACCTATCAGTAAGGAGGCTTTATGCCATTCAGACAGATAAATGTAAAGCCACCAGAAACAACATCAACAACAAAAGAAGAACTGGAATGTTGAAGCTTTTCTCCTTAAAACTAAAAATAAATGCCATTTCTTTATAAAACTAAGCTTCATTATTAGTGATCATACTTCACAGTTGTTGGAGCTTAGAAAACAGTACCCTGGGCTGGGCGTGGTGGCTCACGCCTGTAATCCCAGCACTTTGGGAGGCCCAGGTGGGCAGATCACCTGAGGCTGGGAGTTCGAGACCAGCCTGACCAACATGGAGAACCCTCGTCTCTACTAAAAATACAAAATTAGCCGGCCGTGGTGGCACATGCCTGTAATCTCAGCTACTTGGGGGGCTGAGGCAGGAGAATCTCTTGAACCCGGGAGGCAGAGATTGCGATAAGCCAAGATTGCACCATTGCACTCCAGCCTGGGCAACAAGAGTGAAACTCCATCTCAAAAAAAAAAAAAAAAAAAAAAAAAAAGAAGGAAAGAAAATAGTATCCCGAAATATGGCAAGTTGACATGCTGAACTGAAGAAGCCGCCGGGCCTCCCTGACCTGCCCCTACTTCACACCCCACAGTCTCTCCCTAAGCCTTTATCCGCCTGCAATCCAGATCCATCTAAAGGAATAATTGTTTTTTCTTTCTCTCTCTGTAAGGCCAAGAATGAACCCACACCTGAACAGAAACTTTCACAAGACAATGTACAAATTAATCTGTTCTCTGATCCACTCATTCTCCCTAATAATGCCCTCAACAGAATTCCCCTTCTTCCCCCTCCCATAACGTACACCAGGATTGTATGAAAGCTTTGGAATCACGGTGCTTGGGTAATCACTGTGATTCTCCCCTTGTATACATGTTAAATAAATCTGAATGCCTTTTATCCTATTAATCTGCTTTATGTCAGTGATTTCCAGTGAACCTTCAGAGGGCCCAGGGGAAACTTTCACCTTGGCCCCACACAGTCCATTTGGCTGGTCAGGGAGAATGGGTAGAAGTCCCTTGGTTGCTATCGCATAATTCATGGTATATTATTTCTCAAACTTGCAACATTTATACATACCACTCACTATTTTTGGTCCTTTTTTTTATTATTAATGTAACATTTTTCTTTTTCTCTCTCTCTTTTTTCTTTTTTTGAGATGTTGTCTATTTCTGTCGCCCAGGCCGGAGTGTAGTAGCGCGATCTTGGCTCACTGCAACCTCCGCCTCCCAGGTTCAAGCAATTCTCCTGTCTCAGCCAAGTAGCTGGGATTACAGGTGCCCACCACCACGTCCGGCTAATTTTTGTGGGTTTTTTTTTTTCTTCCTTTTGAGACGGAGTCTTGCTCTGTCACTTAGGCTAGAGTGCAGTGGCTCAATCTCCGCGCACTGCAACCTCTTCCTCCCGAGTTCAAGCAATTCTCCTGCCTCAGCCTCCCGAGTAGCTGGGACTACAGGCACGTGCCACCATGCCCAGCTATTTTTTGTATTTTTAGTAGAGATGGGGTTTCACCATATTGGCCAGGCTGGTCTCGAACTCCTGACCTCGTGATCCGCCCACCTCGGCCTCCCAAAGTATTCAGATTAGAGGCGTGAGCCATGGCACCCAGCCTAATGTAACATTTTTCCTCAAATCAATTTACTTGTTATTCTTTATTTTTATTTTTAGAGATAGGGTCTCTGTTGCCCAGGCTGAAGAGTAGTGATACAATCACAGCTCACTGCAACCTGGAACTCCTGGGCTCAAGCAATCCTCCTACCTCAGCCTCCCAAGTAGCTGAGACTACAGGCATGTGCCAATATGCCTGATTAGGAAATCAACTTACTTTTGATAAAATATAACTTTTTCCTAGGAAAAAGTTTCCATGAATTACCCATGGAATTATATTCCATGTAATAATATATTACATATATTTGAATATATGTAAAATAAAGAAAAATTGTAAAATGCCCATATGCCACCAAAAGCATCTCACGAACTAACAGTGTTTGGAAAATCCAAACATAATAGGTGCTCAATAAATATGTGGTAAATTAAGGAATAAATTGACTTATTTTTAGTAGCTTGTTCAGGAACTGGAATACACAAGATACAAATAAGAAATCATTGCCTATTAAGACTTTGCCTCTCCTGACATATGTTTAATTGTAATATTCAAAGTCTCAGGGTTTACCTAATGATTGGTATTAATCAAATAAAATTTGGTAACATTTCAGTGATCCTTTTTTATTGATCACTCACCTTGGAAAGAATGAGATCAAAGAAAAAGCAGAAAGTGGTCCCAAACAGATTCTTCTGAATAAAATTGATCAAATCACTCTTCAACAAATACCTACAATATGAGAGACACTGTGCTAGCTTCTGAAAATGCAAAGATAAATAATCCTTAATCCTGAACTAAACTGCTGTAGTTCAGTTTAGTTTAATTTAATGAGGAAACCAGACAGTTAAACAAATAAATGCAATGCAGCGTGTTAAGTATGACAGGTATGTTTCAGTGCCACAGGATTACAAAGGAATAAGTGACCAAAAGTGCCTGAGTAAAGCCAAGGTGAGGTTTTTAAATTTAAATTTAAATTTAAATGATTCTTGAGTGCTATTAAGGTTACAGGACCTGGATGTTAGCTGCTACCTGACTCTGCTGAAACCTTCACCACTCTTCCTCACCAATATTTTCTAACCTCTTATTTGTTTTGTTTTTTATCCACAGCACTTATCATGATTTAGCATACTACATATTTTGTCTTATTTATTGTGTCTATTGCCAATCACCCCATATTAGAATGTGAGTGTCACAAGGGCAGGGATATCTGTCTGTTTTGTTCACTGATGTATCATCAGTGTCTGAAAGAGTGACACATAAAAGTTCTAAATGAAATATTTAAAAGGTGGACAAAGCTCACACCTATAATCCTAGCACTTTGGGAGGCCAAGGTGGGAGCATTGCTTGAGCCCAGGAGTTTGAGGCCAGCCTGGGCAACATAGTGAAACCCTGTCTCCATTAAAAAAAAAGAAAAAAAAAAAAAAAAAACTAGCTGGGCATGATGACTCATGCCTGTAGTCCTAGCTTCTCAGGAGACTGAGGCAAGGGGATACCTGGAGCCTGAGAAGTCAAGGTTACAATGATCTGTGATCCCACCACTGCACTCTGGCCTGAGTGACAAGGTGAGATGTGGTCTCAAAAAAAAAAAAAGAAATATTTTAAAATGACCTAAATAGTTAACGAAAAGTAAAGAGTTTGGATGAGACTTCCCTTCTTCTACTCTTCCACAGTTTAATAAAAACACATGCTGTCTGCAATTGCAAAATCGTGGAACCAACCCAAATGCCTGTCAACCAATGAGACTGTGGTATATACATATATATATATATGTATATACAACCAAAGAACTGTGGTATATACATATATGATAGAATATTACTCAAGATAAAAAGGAATGAATTAAGTGTATTTGCAGAGACCTGGATGAGACTGGAGGCTATTTTTTATTTTATTTTATTTTGTTTTTGTTTTTTTTTTTTTTTGAGACGGAGTCTCGCTCTGTCGCCCAGGCTGGAGTGCAGTGGCGGGATCTCGGCTCACTGCAAGCTCCGCCTCCCGGGTTCACGCCATTCTCCTGCCTCAGCCTCCCAAGTAGCTGGGATTACAGGCGCCCGCCACTACGCCCGGCTATTTTATTTATTTTTTTGGAGACGGACTTTCGCTATTGTTGCCCAGGCTGGAATGCAATGGCACAATCTTGGCTCACCGCAACTTCCATCTCCTGAGTTCAAGTGATTCTCCTGCCTCAGCCTCCTGAGTAGCTGGGATTATAAGCATGTGCCACCACACCCGGCTAATTTTGTATTTTTATTAGAGACGGGGTTTTTCCACGTTGGTCAGGCTGGTCTCAAACTCCCGACCTCAGGTAATCCACCTGTCTCGGCCTCCCAAAGTGCTGGGATTATAGGCATGAGCCACAGTGCCTGGCCCTGGAGGCTATTATTCAAAGTGAAGTAACTCAGGAATGGAAAACCAAACATTGTATGTTCTCACTGATATGTGGGAGCTAAGCTATGAGGACACAAAGGCATAAGAATGATACAACGGCTGCGCGCGGTGTCTTATTCCTGTAATCCCAGCACTTTGGAAGGCCGAGGCGGGTGGATCACGAGGTCAAGAGATCGAGACCATCCTGGCCAACATGGTGAAACCCCATCTCTACTAAAAATACGAAAAAATAGCCGGGAGTGGTGGCGGGCGCGTGTAATACCAGCTACTCGGGAGGCTGAGGCAGGAGAACGGCGTGAACCCGGGAGGCGGAGCTTGCAGTGAGCAGAGTTCGCGCCACTGCACTCCAGCCTGGTCCACTGAGCAAGACTCTGTCTCAAAAAAAAAAAAAAAAAAAAGAATGATACAATGGACTTGGGGGATTTGGGGGAAAAGGGTGGGAGGGAGTGAGGGATAAAAGACTACAAATATGGTGCAATGTATACTGCTCGGGTGATGGGTGCACCAGAATCTCAGAAATCACCACTAAAGAATTTACGTAACCCCAATAACCTATGGGAAAAAAATGTTGTCATTATATTGTCTGAAAGAGGAAATAGGAGCCCATTAACTCATCATATAATTTCTGAATCTAGTTAGATATTATATGACATTTTATATCCTTATTTAACAATAGATATTAAAGGTATATTTATCCCTTTTAGAGCTGTTATTGTTATTTAGAATATTTATGGAATAATTGATGACATCTCCATTTGAAAAATGTAAATGGGAATGATATAATAATCATTGAAAAACCAAGTTTTTGTTAAAGTAATGCTAGTCCCAATAACATTTGAAAATATATTTAGAACTCATCCACTTTGAATGTAAAAAGTTTATTTCTTTTTTAATAACATTCACTAATATTAATAATATGCTTGAAAAGCCGTTGAAGTGTCACAGAGTTACAGAGCTAGAAAGTAACTTAGATTATTTGGTTCACATCTTTTCCATAAAGCATGTAAATATCTAAGCTACTCAGGATTCAAATATTTCTTAGTACAAAAACACATTTAGATATATCTATAAGAAGCATTATGAATCCTTTCAGATAACCGACCTAATCTTTAAATTTTAATGTGAACGTTTGACCTCACATTGATTCTCTCCCCTTACGCTTCACATCAATTATCACAGAACTGTTGGGTTTAACCTGCAGTTTATATACAATTTAAAGAATGGAGAAACATAGGTTGATAGTCACTTATACGTTATTTATGTTCAACAACAATACTCTGCTTTAAAACATCAATTCTGAAAGCAATATTCTAATTTCACTTAGAATATTGAAATAAGAATACATTGATGACATTTGTTCTTTATTTATATTCCAATTTTTAAATGGAAGAGTGAGAATAACATCAAGACCCTATTCTTTAATAATAAGGAAAATCAAACTTTGTCCCCAAGTGATATGTGCATTTGCATCAACTCTTCTTAATTTAACCTTAAAGTTATTTAAGCAGAAGTGACTGAATTTTTGAAGCAAACTAAATTCAATTGAATATTTCTGCTTATTCATTAATTATATTGAGCATATAAATCACTTTATTCGTATTTTCCACACTCCCATGGAAAAAGATTCAGGAATTATTTATTTATTTATTTGAGACAGAGTTTTGCTCTTATTGCCCAGGCTGGAGGTCAATGGCACGATCTTGGCTCACCACAACCTCCGCTTCCTGGGTTCAAGCGATTCTCCTGCCTCAGCCTCCCACGTAGCTGGGATTACAGGCATGCGCCACCACGCCTGGCTAATTTTGTATTTGTAGTAGAGACAGGGTCTCACCTTGTTGGCCAGGCTGGTCTTGGACTCCCGACCTTAGGTGATCCGCCCACCTCTGCCTCCCAAAGTGCTGGGATTACAGGTGTGAGCCACTGGGCCAGGCCTTATTTATTTTTATTTTTATTTATTTATTTTTTTTGTGTGGTGGAGTCTCACTCTGTCACACCCAGGCTGGAGTCCAGTGGCATGATCTCGGATCACTGCAACCTCTGCCTCCTGGGTTCAAGTGATTCTCCTGCCTCAGCCTCCCACGTAGCTGGGACTACAGGCACGAACCACCACACCTGGCTAATTTTTTTGTATTTTTAGTAGAGACGGGATTTCGCCATGTTTGCCAGGCTGGTCTCAAACTCCTGACCTCAGGTGATCCACCTGCCTCGGCCTCCCAAAGTGCTGGAATTGCAGGCATGAGCCACCTCACCTGGCTGATTATTACTTTCAGTATCACCCCCACCAAGATAGCTCTAAAAAGAATAAGCAAAGGTTATGGAATATTGATGAAATAAAGAGTTGCCATTTTTACGAGCTCAGAGAAAATATATTTTGGCTCTATGCAGTTTCTTCTCTCAGTTTTATAATTACTTGTCCTCTTAACACATTGCTCATCTTTCTCCCAACTCCACCCACCCTCAGACAGTGTCTTGCTCTGTCACCCAGGCTGGAGTGTAGTGGCATGATTACAGCTTACTGCAGCCTCAACCTCCAGGGCTCATGTAATCCTCCTGCCTCAGCCTCCCAAGTAGCTGGGACTACAGACACACACCATCATGCCAGACTAATTTTTGTATTTTTTGTAGAGAAGGGGTTTCACTATGTTGCCCAGGCTGGTCTCAAACTCCTGAGTTTAATTGATCCACCTGTCTCAGCCTCTCAGAGTGCTGAGATTACAAGCATGAGCCACTCACTGCTCCTGGCATCATAGTTTTAAAAGGTATAATTTTCTGCTTACTGTTTTTTCTTTAGGATAATCCAAAGCCAAATGTTGCTCATCTTTATACTAGTTAGAAGAAGGTTTTACAATATTGGTTCTCATTTGTTATGTATAGCTAATATTTATTGAGCTAATTTTACTATGTGCCAGACACTGTGGAAGAGCTTTATGTGCATTAGCCCATTTAATTCTCACAGCAACCCTATAAGATACATACAATTGTATGCCCTTTTTACCAAGAAGAAAACTGAGACAGAGGGGCTAAATGCCCCCATCAAAATTACAGAACTAGTAAAAGATGGAGATGGAATTGAAACCTTGGCAGTCTGACCAAATCCTGTATTTTTTTTTTTTTTTTACAGACGAAGTCTCACTCTGTGCCAGGCTGTAGTGCAGTGGCAAGATCTCGGCTCACTGCAACCTCCGCCTCCCGGGTTCAAGCAATTCTCCTGCCTCAACCTTCCAAGTAGCTGGGACTACAGGCATCCACCACCATGCCAGGCTAATTTTTTTTGTATTCTTAGTAGAGATAGGGTTTCACCATGCTGGCCAGGCTAGTCTCGAACTCCTGACCTCAAATGATCCACCCACCTTAGCCTCCCAAAGTGCTGTGATTACAGGTGTGAGCCACCACTCCTGGCCAAATCCTATACTCCTAAGGATTGTACAATGGGGCAAGTTTTTCATACAGTTGTCTGCAGATATTTTTAAAGGCTGACTAATAAATCCTACATCTTTGCGGCTCAATACTACTAAGAGAAGCTTTGCATGGTTTCAGTGTTTTCAAATGAGGTGGCCAAGCACTTTTGCTCCGGATGGTAAACTGAAACAAAGAAGCGACTTCATATCTGAGTGAGGTTGGTTTTCCTGGCTAGGCATATATTCCTAAAGCCCATGAAAGATTATGTAGGAAGAATTCTTATCAATGATTCAAACATTTTAAATGCTATTTTTATAATTTGTATTGATTCTGTAATACAGGATCTTAAATTCAGATAATGACCATTATTTTTTGGAATTCCTTACCCTTCTGAAGAACAACTTTAGGTTTAAAGACCCTTAAGGTCATAGCAGAAAACATTTTATTAGTTCAATGTCTTTCAGCTACTTGGTGCTAACGGAAAAACTGCTAGAAATTCTCATTGCTGTTTTGTTTAATATACAGAATTTATATTCTGTATATTAGATTCTGTATATACAGATTACAATCCCAGCACTTTGGGAGGCTGAGGCGGGTGGATCACATGAGGTCAGGAGTTTAAGACAAGCCTGGCCAATATTGTAAAACCCTGTCTCTACTAAAAATACAAAAATTAGCTGGGCAGGGTGGTGGGTGCCTGTAATCCCAGCTACTTGGGAGGCTGAGGGAGGAGAATTGCTTGAATTCAGGAGGTGGAGGTTGCAGCGAGCCAAGATCACACCATTGCACTCCAGCCTGGGTGACAAGAATGAAACTCCATCTCAAAAAAATTTAAAAATAAAAAGAGAGAGAGAGAGAACTTATGTGACTGGAAAGTTATACAAATGAAGTACACAGACAATTTGTTATGGAGCCTAGACAAGTTGTTAAGAACATAAGCTCTAGAGTCAGAATTCCAGCCTTCTACTTACTTTTTGAAGGATTTTTAAATAAGCTACTTACCCCCTTGTTTTTTCATCTGTTAACTAGAAGTGTTCTAGTTTATGGTAATTATTTTGCTGTTCAAGTTAGACAACATCTAGTTTCTTATAAACACTATATGTAGTATTATTTATTTTCACCAACCCTATTATTTTTCTCCCACAACATAGAATTTGTCTTAGAAGTGGGGAAAATAATCACGTTAAAGTGGAAGTAATTTGTCTATGTTAGACATTCTGTTAATTGACCAAATGGAGTGTTCCTTTTACCAGTGCAATATCCTTTTGTGGCAAATGCTGTATATATATATAATTGAGGAAAGGGGAAAAGTGAAGAGGTCTCCAAGTAACTAATAGCAGTATTTACCTTTTAAGCACAAAATCTAGATAAGGTGGTCATTAATCCTAAGAAGCAAAACAGAGTCAAATGGTATATGACTTTGTAATGCAGCACTTTGCCATACATGAGTAAAACTAAAAAATAAAGACAAATGTGTTAATGGTTCAACCAAAGTTAAACCTGGAAGCTCCTATCAGGGTATCTTATTTAGGTGAGACGGGAGGGTTGCTTGAGTCTAGGAGTTCAAGATCAACCTAGGCAACACAGCAAGACCCCATCTCTAGAAAAAATATGGTAATCTTTTTTAAATAGAGCAAATTAGAAAATTCACAAAGCTAAGATGACTAGTAAATATATTATGTGCCAAAACACATATATAGATTTTGCAATGATATTTATAGGATTGAATGTGAAAATAAAAGTATGTTATTGCCTCTCTGAGGTTTTGTGTCCTCCTTGCTTTGTGTTATGCCTGTGTCTGCAACTTTTCACAATCATTAATTACATTTAATGCTTCTAGCTCCTAAAATAGTCATGAAAATAGAACTACAAACCTTTAGACTAGGAATTATTCTAGAAACTCATTCAGATCCTTCTGTAGTTTATAAGCATGATGACTGAGTATTCACCCGCATGTGTGAGACGTGCTGCCCTTAAACTTTGTTATGGTGTCACACACTGCTAGCCTGAAATGGAAGAAAAATAAATAAATAAAAGCAAAAAGCTAATTTTTAAAAAGTGGCTGTCAATTACTTTTATCATCTATAAGCCTTCCTTTTTTCTTCTTTTTGAGATGGGATATTGCTCTGTTGCCTAGGCTGGGGTGCAGTGCCACAATCATAGCACACTGTAGCCTCAAATTCCTGGGTTCAAGGGATCCTCTGCCTCAACACACCTGGCTAATTTTTTTATTAGCTGGTGTCTCACTGTGTTGACCCAGGCTGGTGTCAAACTCCTGGCCTCAAGGGATCCTCCTGCCTCAACCTCCCAAAATGTTGGGATTAAAGGCATGAACCACCATACCTGGTCCAGGATGTTAACTTTGGAGAATAGTTTATTTATGGAATATAGGTCCTCTCTCCTAACTATGCTGAATTGTTCCTTGACTTTCTAGGTTTTTTTGTTTTTGTTTTTTAAAGATGGAATCTCCCTCTGTCATTCAGTTTGGAGTACAGTGGTGAAATCATAGCTCACAGCAACCTCAAACTCCCAGGCTCAAGTGATCCTCCCACCTCAGCCTCCTGAGTAGCTAGGACTACAGGCATGCACCACCATGCCTGGCTAATTTTTTTTTATTTTTTGTGGAGTTGGGGGGTCTGCCTATGTTGGCCAGGCTGGTCTTGAACACCTGGCCCTGAAAGATCCTCCCACCTCAGCTTCCCAAAGAACTGGGATTATGATGTCAGCCACCACACTCAGCAGACTTTCTACTATTATTGTTGTGTTTAGCTTTGTGTTGCTTAAATTGTCAAGAACTAATATTAAGAATGAAGTTAATGGTATTAATGCACAAATATACTGGTCTCTGCCAAGTCAAAAATGTAAGACTATAGTATCCTAACTGCTGAGTTACTTCTTGATAACCTAATGCATTAGTTTGCTAGAGCTGCCAATAACAAGTATCACCAATTGTGTGGCTTAGAAATTTATTGTCTCAGTTTTGGACGCCACAGATCCAAGATCAAGGTGTTGGCAGAAATGATTTTTCTGTGGGCAGAGAGGGAAAATCTGCTGCATATCTCTTTCCGGCTTCTGGTGGTTTTTTCTTAGTTTATAGAAGCATCACCTGAACCACGGCCTTCATCTTCAGATGGTATGCGTGTCTCTCTGTCCAACCTTTCCCTTTCATAAGGACACCAGTCCTATTGGATTAGGGTCCACCATAATGACCTCATCTTTACTTGATCACCTGCAAAGACCTTGTTTCCAAATAAGGTCATATTTCGAGGGGTTAGGACTTCAACATGCAAATTTTTTACTTCAACATGCACATTTTTGGGCAACAAAATTTAACTCATAACACAATAGCCTACCTGGCCTCACCCAAACTTCACCCAGCAGCCAAGATCCTTCAGGAGCTGGCTGCATTTGCCTTTCTTGTCTTTTTTTTTTTTTTTTTTTTTTACCAGGTGCAGTGGGGCAATCACAGCTCACTGCAGCCTCAACTTTCCAGGCTCAAGAGATTCTCCCACCTCAGCCTCCCCTGTAGCTGGGACTACAGAGGTGCACACCACCATGCCTGGCTAGTTTTTTTACTTTTTGTAGAGATCATGGGCAGGGGGTGGTCTCCCTATGTTGCCCAGACTGGTCTCAAACTCCTGGGCTCAAGCCATGCATCCAGGTCGGTCTCCCAAAATGCTGGGATCACAGGCCAGAGCCACTGCACCCAGCCTGCAGTCAGCATTTCTAACCAGTTCCCAGGCGATGCTTTCAAGACCTCTTTTAGCACTACATGTTTTCAGCTTAATCAAACTTTTTTATTTTCTCCTAAACTGCAAACTTTCCATATTTCAAAACAATATAAAAAGTTCTCAGACTATTAATGCGGAGAAGAATCTTGGTAATTTAGAACACTACTTTTGGCCAGGCTCAGTGTCTAACGCCTATAATCCTAGCAGTTTGGGAGGCCAAGGTGGGCAGATTACTGGAGCCCAGGAGTTCAAGACCCGCCTGGGCAACATAGCAAAACCCCATGTCTACAAAAAATACAAAAATTAGCCAGTGTGGTGGCGCATGCCTGTAGTCTCAGCTCCTCGGGAGGCTGAGGTGGGAGGATCATCTGAGCCTGGGGACCTCAAGGCAACAGTGAGCCGTGATTGCACCACTATACTCTAGCCTGGGTGACAGAGCAAGACCCTGTCTCAAAAAAAAAAAAAAAAAAAAAAAAAAAATTACAGCATGGAGACAGCAGAGGATTAAATAAGTGCAAGGATTCACTAACATTTGGGAGCAAAAGAGTAATATAATAAATGCAATGATTAAGAAAAATAGACATTTTTGGAGAGTAATTTTGCAATATTTAAAATGTACTCACCCTTGGATTTAGCAATTTTTCTCCCAGGAATTTATCCTGCAGGTGTTCTCATACATGAACAAAATGGCATTCATTCAAGGCATTCACTGTAGCATTGTTCCTACTAGCAAAAGATTAGAAACAGTCTAAATGTCCTCTGCCAAAGAACTGGCTCAGGTAATTATGGTACCTCACTGTCTTCATGCATCTTACAATTACAGCTAGGTTCTTTATTTCCATGCTTTGATTCTAATCCTTAGGAAACTTGGCCTTGGGGTACTGCTTATTATTGTGAGATAGAAAAAATAATGTTTTAATTCCTAGTCCATAAAAGACAGTTTAAAAAATGAACATAGAGCCACTAAAAAGATAAAGTTAGCTCTATGTGTTCTAAGAAGGATAATTTTCCAAGATATATATTTCTGGGGGGAGAAAAGGATATGAGCATAACAGTATGTATAGTATGTACCATTTGTGCTTAAAAATAAATTGCATGTCTCTCAAAAAAGAGATTAAAAAAATTTTTTTAATAAAAGTTGCAATGTTTATATCCACATAGAAATATTTGTGAAGGGAAATACAGGACACTGATAACAATGGTTTCCTCTAGGAAAGGAAACCTGGGATCTGTTGCTGAGGCTGGAGTGCAGTGGTGCGATCTCAGCTCACTGCAACCTCCACCTCCTGGGTTCAAGAGATTCTCCTGCCTCAGCCTTCCGAGTAGCTGGGATTACAGGCATGAGCCACCATGCCTGGCTAATTTTTGTATTTTTTAGTAGAGACGGGGTTTCACCATGTTAGCAAGGCTGGTCTCAAACTCGTGACCTCAGGTGATCTGCCCGTCTTGGCCTCCCAAAGTGCTGGGATTACAGGCTGAGCCACTGTGCCAGGCTAGGCATACTTTTCAATGAATACTCTCTCATACCTTTTGAATTTTGCACCATACATGTGGGTTTCTTATGAAAAAAACATATATTTTAAAAGACCCAAATAACTTGGGAAGAAGAAGAAGAAAGAGCTTTAGGAAGGGAAGTGAAAGCTATTTCTGCCAAGCGGCACAGCTCTGAAGTAGTTGAATAAATGCTTCACCCAGAGATGAGAGTCAAGAGAAAGGTAAAGAATTCCCACTCACATTTCCTCCACCATGAGGACTCTGTATGGATTTAAAATTAATTCAATTTTGGAATAAAGAAATGACTGAATTTTCCAAAATTAAGGAAGGAAGAAAGAAAAGGAGGGAGAGAGAGAAGTAGGGGAGGGAAAGGAAAAAATGCAATTGGTAGCAGCATGCAGGATGGCAGAGGAAATCTGAGGTTTCCTGGGTAGCCCAGGGAGTGAGCTGATAATTGTCTGCACTGTGTAGGAGAGATTGGCATGAGGAGGGAGAATAAGAGTCAGTGCCATTTTAAAAGGAGAAATCAGGCTTGTTGACTAATTGGATATGCTTGAGAACTAGGAATGAGCATATCGTGAGCAGGATGATTTTGCAGTGACAGCTTTCCAGGAAAAATTGCTGCATTCTCAACATCTGCATGCATCTGAGAATTACACCTGGATTCTTCACTTCCATGCCTTGATTTTAATCCTTAGGAAAGTAGGCCTTAGGGTACTACTTGTGATTCTAAAATGGAATAAGTAATGATTTAATTCCCAGCCAGTAAAGGGCAATCCAAATGACTGGCTCCACCGTTTCCCTAGGGCTAGTTTGTAACCTGGGACAGAAATAAGCTGTGTGTATTAAATCAATACGATCACTCACAGGTGAAAAAAAAAAAAAAGGCATTGCTTTGGTGACTTTGTATTATATGAACTATTTCTGTTTCTGAACTGTTTACTTTCTTCAGATGATATAAGCCTGGCCACTTTTCTATGATGAGCTAACACCAGCTAGGAACTTGGTACCTTGAGCAAGTGCTCCAAGGTGCTATGATGCAACTTACAACCCCTGCCTGTCGCACTGGGTGTCACAATGGCCAGGCTTGCCTAAAAGAGAAGATTGTGTAACACTTCACAGTGCTCAAGTGCTTTCCTTCTCTCTACCAGCTTCAATGGGAGCTTCTTATCTGAGCATGGGAACAGAGCAGACCAGGGGAAGTGTTAGTGTGCACCACCCAGAAGGCACTGTTGGTCATCCTCTGATCTCTTCAAGCTTGATCACGTGGATAATGAAATCACTGCCTACTACAGCATTCCCGATGTGAAACAGGATTACTACACAGTATATCTATGAAACACTGTGACATATGTGTTTGTCATGTTTTATTATTCAGAATTAGCAAAAGAAGTGGGGCTCTGCCTGCCTCCACAGATGCCACTGTCCTGTTTCTCCAACTTTGGCTCCTCAATTCTTGTCATTCCCTAAGGCTGCGTCCTCAGCACTCTTTTCTCTGTGTGATATTCTCCATTTCCACATTTTTGCATTTCACCCATCAGGTGATTGACTTCCAAATCCACTTCTGTAGCCTTGATTTCTCCTGGGGTTGATCTAACCACCTAGCAGGCACCTCTTCCTACTTACTTCAAAGTCAGAATTTCCAAAAATGAGCGCTTTACACCACCCCTTTCCTTCCAGTATTTTCTCTTCCTTACTTTTCTACACTACACCCCAAGTCTATCAAGCACGTAAGGTAGATTCCTAGAGTAATTTTTCTTCCTCCTTCTGTCTTGCCATGCACCTCATGCTAGAGCTGTGGCCTTGGTTCAGGACCTCGTCACCTCTCTACTCCTATTCTAACTACCTCTTGAATGGATTTCTCTATTTTTAGTTTCTCCTCTTTCTACTTCTCTGTCACACTGTTGCCTGAATATTCCTTCAAATGCTCCGAACCTTCTTTGCAACAGAGTTTACCTTATTCCAACAAGCTGGGAATGTGTCCTAAAAATTTTCTCATGGTTTTTGTTGTCTCCTTGTAGTGTTATCATCATCGACGAATTTCTCTAAATGTAAATGTTTCTTTTTTTTTTTTTTGGAGACGGAGTCTCACTCTGTTCCCTAGGCTGGAGTGCAATGGCACAATCTTGGCTCATCGCAATCTCTGCCTCCTGGGTTCAAGGGATTCTCCTGCCTCAGCCTCCTGAATAGTGGGATTACAGCCGCACCACCATGCCCAGCTTTTTTTTTTTTTTTTTTTTTTTTGGTATTTTTAATAGAGACGGGGTTTCACACATTGGCCAGGCTGGTCTTGAACTTCTGACCCCAGGTGATCCACTCACCTCGGCCTCCCAAAGTGCTGGGATTATAGGGGTGAGGCACCACACTTGGCCTAAACTTTTCTTAAACTTTAATATTATTAGTCTATATCACATCCTGGGTAATGAGTTATCTAAGTTTACCATGTTTGGGGTAAAACTGTTTCTCAATTTGTGTTAAGATTCTAGCAAAATACTGCTCAAACTAAGTTTAAAGGCTAATTTTGTTGTTGTTGTATGTTTTTTAGAGACATGGTCTTGCTCTGTTGCAAAGGCTGGAGTGCAGTGGCACAGTATAGCTCACTGCAGCCAGCCTCAAACTCCCAGGCTCAAGCAACCCTCCAACCTTAGTCTCCCAAGTAGCTGGAACTACAGGTGTGTACCACCACACCTGGGTAATTTTTTTTTAATTTTTAATTTTTATTTTTTGTAGAGACAAGGTCTCACTATGTTGCCCAGGCTGGTGTCAAACTCCTGGCCTCAGTTGATCCTTCTGTCTCGGCCTCTCAAAGTGCTAGGATTACTGGTGTGAGTTACTACACTTAGCCCACCACTTATTGTTTAAGGGCAATTTACTGACTCATATAAACACAAAATCCAGAATTTTTTCTAGTCGGGCATGGCTGCTTCTAGTGGCTCAATATCATATTAGGAATATGTTTGTCTCTTTCTTCTGGACAACCCAAACTATACACTCAACCTGTTTGAACAACCCAGCAAAAAGACAGTTTTTACTTAAAACTTCTGCAAGAGAGTTTCGGCAAGGACTTTTCATTGTCCCAGATTTAGTCACATACCCATCTCTAAGAAAGTGCAGTGCCAAGGGAAAATATTTGACGAGACCTGTTTTACACACCTGCTATTGTGACAGAGAAATACAGAAAAAGAGGCAAGTTAACCTAACACAAATCTCAAAGTATTGATTATCTATAGAACAGAAGGTTTCTTGTACCAGAAGGAGTTGGGTGGACTGCTGGATGCACATGCATGCAGGCGCACACACACACACACACACACACACCCTTTGAATGCTTTTGGCTACATGTAACAAAATCCTCAACTCAAACGTACTTAAACAATAGAGTTCTTTAATTTACCTAACCAAAAGTCTGCATAAAAAATGTCAGGATGGTGTAGAGCCTTTTTCTATTTTCCTGCTGGATCACCCTCTGTCTTCCTTCAAGTCATAGGATGGTTGGGGCAGCTCCAAGCATTACACCCTCATACAAGGAGAAAGGGTAAGAGAGATCTTCCGTATCATCTTTCCCAGAAACTCCTAGCTGACTATTCTTGCCCTCATTGGCAGGGATTCAGTGAAAAGCACACCTCAGATCAATTTGGAACGAAAAATGAGATAATTGGCTTAGGGCACCACATTTGTTCCTTGGGCTAGGTAAACTAGAATGGACTTTTAGCAAGAAAAAATAAATAAATAAAAAGGCCTTTAGGTAGGCCACTAGTAATGTTTTACATAAGACTTTTTTCCTTGTGTTCTGAGATTTTTTTTTTTTTTTTTTTTGAGACAGGGGCTCACTTTGTCGCCCAGGCTGGAGTGCAGTGGCACGATCTTGGCTCTCTGCAGCTTTGACCTCAGGCCTTCCACTTGAGCATCACCATTGGCTGGTGAGGCCTCATTTTTATTGCCCTGCTCCCTCAGTTCCACCAGCTCATTTTTAAACTCCCTATTTATTTGCCTTTGTTTGTTAGGTTACACGTTCAAAATAAAAACTTTGAGAAGCCCTGAACTAAATAATCTAAGATTCTTTAGATTTCTGAAGTTAGGATTCAAAATTAAAAACAATATTTAAGAATCTCAGGGGCCAGGCACAGTGGCTCACCCCTGTAATCCCAACACTTTGGGAGACAGAGCAGGGAGGATTGCTTGAGCTCAAGACTTTGAAGCCAGCCTGGCTAACATAGCGAGACACCTCTCTCTTCTCTCCAATAAATAAATAAAGAAACAAACAAATAAATAAATAAATAAAATTAGCCATGCATGGTGGTGCACACCTGTAGTCCCCACCATGAAAGTGAGGCCTTACCAGCCAATGGCCCTGAAGCACCTCTGGAAAGGTACATCACTTCAGAATGGGATTTTAAAACCCCATTTCTCCCCCATTTCTTTCATTTTAAAGAATAAACTAAAGTTAGAAGAAGTAAAATGAGTTGACCTTGTTCTTCCACAGGTTATTTAGGATTGTAGTCTGATTCCCTAATTCCCTAATCCCTTCATATCTTTTATGTCTTTATAATTCTGTATTTGTCTTCAGATTTTGCTCTTTACCCACACACTAAGAAGTCCTTAAAGATGAATCTTAATGGAGAAGTCATTACCTTATTTCAGTAGCCTTTTATGATCTTTCTCTAACACCATTCGATTATTCTTAATATATAATGTCCTAAACTACATGCAGCATTTGAGTTTCAATACACAGTGACCTATTCTGTTGTAGGCTGAACGGGCAGTGCTAAGCACTCCAACACTGAACATAATATTGTGTGTTCCAATCTTGCCTCTACGAGCCTCAGCTTCCTAACTCACGGGGTTGAAGTCCATGTGTAGTGTACTTAACATAGCCTGGTACACAGTTACTATGTGTTAGCTGTTATTTTCTCATAACTTTTCCCCAAATTATTCTTGACCAAAGAATCTGGAAATTATTAGGTATTTCCCTCCCAGAGATAAAAAGCCAATGTTGCCTATATCCACAGCCTTTTATCTCGTATTTAGAATCATTTCCATAAATCCATTTCCTTCACTTTATTTTTTTCCCCTCCTATATCTTTTGTTGTATCATTCACAATTTCACTTTCCTTGGAAACTAAGGGTGAAGGATCAGACTCATACTATTAGAGTTAAAAGGGGTCTTAAATGAAGGAAGGGGCAGCTTAGAGAATTCAGGTCACTTGGCTTGAATCATCAATATTTCAAGTTCCCTATGCAAATCACATAGTTCCAATTTACCAATTTCCAAATCATAAATTTGGGTCAGTGTTCAAATTTCTGTTCCCTGTTTCTTTGCCTCTGTTCCCAATTTCTAACAAATCTCCATTATGTATTTGTCTGAATAGGTAAAATAATAAAAGAAAAAAATGGCAGGGGGTTGGAGGGAGAGTTGTTATAAATTATCTAAGTGTCTGAAGATAGGCTAGGTGATTGTGTAATCCTGTGCATACATGACAAAATCTTCATTTGCCTCCTTCACCAAAGAGAGTTTCAGAAGAATCTCATAAAGTTCTAAAGTAGTATAATGAAAATTTTTGTAAATGTTAATGTTTTTCTAATTTTTTATAACTATGTGATTAAAAATTTAATTGCTTTCTCTGTTTTTGAATACACAAATACGTGATTGTTTAGAGAATTACCAGGGTGTAAGTGTCTTCTAGTAAGCAATAGAAAAGCACATTTGCTATAAGCATTGGTGGTTCAGTGGTAGAATTCTCGCCTGCCACGCGGGAGGCCCGGGTTCGATTCCCGGCCAATGCAAGTTTTGACTTCTAGTTTTTTTCTGTGGGTATCATACACAGGAGCCTCAAAGTTCAATAACAGGGCCTTTAAACACTGGACTCATGCAAATAAAGAAGTATTAATGAAAGCCAATTCCCTATTTCACTTTTACTTCGAGCAGTCAAGAAGGTGGTTTCCCTGAGCTTCGCTGATTTTTTTCAGCCCTCCTTTTATATTGTTTTTGGGCGGCCTAGATGTGAGCAAAATGTATGTACAAGTAATGGGGTAAGTGTTCTAAGATACAACAGGAAAGGAGAAAAAATAAAAAGCAAACGTCGGCTGATTTGGAGATGCCGGGGATTGAACCCGGGACCTCACACATGCGAAGCGCGCGCTCTACCACTGAGCTACATCCCCCAGCCGAAAGCATATTTCTGGTGTCCATACTCATTCAGTCTGCTAGCTCTAGTCAAATTACTGTATTAAGATCTTTATTTTTAAAAATTTATATTGGCGAGTGCTTCTGAAATATGTTTCTTCTTTTCCCATACCCACCCTAAGTTGTTTCCACTGTGCATTCAGACCTCGCGCAACGAGCTGGCAACGAAACGCTCACCTGGGACCAATGAAGCCTCACTCCAGAGCACTTCTGCTGGACGTCGGGAGCCTGGGATCCTGGAGGGATCCGGTGCCCTGCGCGGCCACAGCGGCGGGACTCCCGGGTGCCCAATGCCTGCCGGAGCTGGCACCTCCCCAGGCTTATTGCGCAGGCAGCGCAGATCCAGGAGGCCGTGGTGTGTCCGGCCTCTGGCTTTGCTGCCGGGTAGAACCCCGGTCCAAACCTCGAGCCCGGGCCCAGCGCTCGGGCCGCGCCGCGAGCGTCGCCTCGGGTGCTCATGGAGACTGGTTCATGGAGCAGAAAGGTGGAGACCTTCTCTTTGCACACGAAAATGTTATGGATTTACCTGAACACTCTTCACCCCCGAAAATAAATGCACATCTCAGGAAAACCACGTGTTCACACCAAATCCCCATACCTTGCTTATGTAAGGGTTACAGCCAGATAACCCCTTGCAGATAAAAATGATTTGCAGCTTGCTCTTCATTTTCATGAGGCTCAAACTGAAAGAAAGAATATGACACCACCACCCTCCCTGTAGCTTAGTCATATATAAACTATGATAAGATCGGGGCAGGGGACTTGCTCCAGGTAGATTTTTTTTTTCTCCTTTTGATATTCACACCCTGGGCCAGTCTTAACGGATTGGTAAGTGGTGATCGTAGTGTAAGTCATTGAACATCTCCTTTGATGCCTTCTGAACCCTCTCTAACCACTAATGGTACCCAAGCTCCAAATTAAAAGACCTACCCTGAGTCCTGTTCCCTCTGAAATTGCCTCTCCAGTTGGCTGAGTGCTAGGTAAATCGATGTGCTGACTTGCAGTATAGTCAGATGAGGTGTGTTTGACTTTTTCAGGTGTAGTTTAAGCTGATACCACCCCAGCCTGGTGAAAGCTGAGTGGTGGAAGCCTCAGACACTCCGATGGGAGCAGGGTAGAGATCTGGTGTCGAGGTAGCTGGGTCACCGTCACTTCCAGCTGACCTGTAAGGCTGGCCCCAACAGGTAGCACCGTGAGGGCCTAGAATTTCCACTCCTTCAGTTGCAGAGCACTCCCGATAAATGACCATTTGGTCAGCAAGCCGAGAGCCAGAGCAGAAAACAGAGATTTCAAAATCATTCTGAGCAAACCACAAGTTTCACAATCAACTTCTGAATTAAAAATAAATAAACCATTGTGTTTGCTTACAGTAATTTAAACAAATAATGGCTCATAATTGAATTTTGGTTTAAACTAGAACAGGACACAGGCTGATCTAATTCAAATATAATACGCAATGTCCAAGAGGACAGTCATTGAAGAGTTCTGCTCTACCAAGCCTGAACATTTCCAAATCACCCTCTGCATTCCACCCTCAGGCACTAGAACATGAGCATCTTCAATTGATTCTGAATCAGGAAATGGGGACACAGTCATTTCTCTACCCAATGCATATTTAAACTATACTATTCAGTTCATTATGAGGGAAATATGGCCTCTGGCGTCTTCAACTTTGTCATCTTTTTGGGGATCCTCTTCCTCATGTTATGGTTATTTCTCCATCACCTGAGGCCTTCCATTTTGGGGGCTTTTTTTCTCAGGCAATTCGGAAATTTCAGAGCCCAGAGAAGATCCCTTTTAAATGTCCACTCCCATTTCAAGAGTTCAGGCTATGTAGGTGCATCTGATAAAGCAAATGAGGCTGATCTCTAAAACCAACAGAGGACGTAAAGTTGATTTAGAGCTCTAAAGCCAACAGGGGATGTGAAATTGCTTTACTGGCATACCTTAATCAAAAAGGCTCTCACTTAGTGGGTTTTTTCAGCCACTATGGCTGATGGGAGAGGTGAAGCAGCAGGTGCACTTTTGGATTGGGGGCCTTTTCAGGAAAGCTTGTTGGATCCAGCTCTGCTCAAATATGTAAAGAGGATGACCAAATGATATGGTTTGGATCTGTGTCCTCACCCAAATCTCATGTCCAGTTGTAATCCCCAGTGTTGGAATGGGGTCTTGTGGGAGGTGATTGGGTCACAGGGTGCTTTCTCATGAATGGTTTAGTACCATCCTCTTGGTACTATCTTCTGCGATAGTGAATGAGTTCTTGTGAGATCTGTTTAAAAGTGTGTGGCACCTTCCCCCCCACTCTCTTGTTGCTGCTCTGACCATGTGAAGTGCCTGCTCCTGCTTTGCCTTTCATCATGAACGTTGGTTTCCTGAGGCCCATCCCCAGAAGCTGAGCAGATGCCAGCATCATACTTCCTGTACAGCCTGCATAACTGTGAGCCAATCAAACCTCTTTTCTTTAAAAATTACCGTCTCTGGCCAGGCGAGGTGGCTCATGCCTGTAATCCCAGCATTTTGGGAGGCTGAGGAGGGTGGATCACCTGAGATCAGGAGTTCGAGACCAGCCTGGCCAACATGGTGAAGCCCCATCTCTACTAAAAACACAAAAATTAGCAGTGTGTGTTGGTGCGTGCCCGTAATCCCAGCTACTCAGGAGGCTGAGGCAAGAGAATCACTTGAGCCCAGGAGGCGGAGGTTGCAGTGAGTGGGGATGGCGCCACTGCACTCCAGCCTGGGCGACAGAGCAAGACTCCATCTCAAAAAAATAAAAATAAAAATAAAACAACAACAACAAAAAATACCATCTGTCAGGTATTTCTTTATAGCAATGCAAGAATGGCCTAATACACCAAATGTCGAAAATTATGGAATATTTAAAATCCAGTTCTATCATCTATGCTCCCCACATCTCTCTTGGTTAGAGACAGTCCCCTATTCTCAGTCTGTGTCACACACATATCATTCACAAGGTGTGATGATTAATATTAGGTGTCAACTTGATTGGATTGAAGGATGCCTAGATAGCCGGTCAAGTATTGTTTCTGGGTGTGTCTGTGAGGGTGTTGCCAGAGGAGAATAACATTTGAGTCAGTGAACTGAGAGAGGGAGACCCACTCTCAATGTGGGTGGGCACCTTCCAATTGGTTGCCAGTGCAACTAGAACAAAGCAGATGGAAGAAGGTGGGATAAGCTGGCTTGCTGAGTCTTCCGGCTTTCATCTTTCTCCCATGCTGGATTGGACTTCAGACTCCAGGTTCTTCGGCCTTTGGACTCTTGGACTTATATCAGTGGTTTGCTGGTGGCTATCGGGTCTTCAGTCACAGACTGAAGGCTGCACTGTCGGCTTCCCTGCTTTTGAGGCTTTTGAACTTGGACTGAGCCACTGCTGGCTTCTTTCTTCCTCAGCTTGCACACAGCCTATTGTGGGACTTTGCTTTGTGATTGGTATGAGTCAATACTCCTTAATACACTCCTATATATATATCCTATTTGTTCTGTCCCTCTGGAAAACCCTGACTAATACACAAGGATTGACCTTAAACCCCCTTTTGAAGCAGGTGACATCTACCTCTGGCACTCTTTTCACATTTCTTGCTTCAGCTCCTGGCACTTTTTGTCCAGGAGGTGTTGAGCGTCCTTCCCTCAGAGCTGGGTACAAGTCAAAATGTTTTTTCCCAGTCCAGGTAGTGGTTTTTACTCTGACTGTACATTAGACTCACTGAGGAAGGCTTTGAAAAATGCCGATGCTTGCTTGAGCCTAAACCAAGACCAATTAGATCAGGATCTCTAGGGGTGAGTCCAGGCATCAGCATCTTTTTAAATATATATATACATATATATATATATGTATATATAATTGACAAATATTTAATGCATTCAGGTGTTCAACATGATGATTTGATATATGTGTTCGCCGTGTAATGATTACCACAATCAAGTTAACACATCCATCACCACCTATGCTATACATTAAGTCCCAGAACTTGTTCATCTTATAACTGAAAGTTTGTACCCTTTCAATTTCCCCATTTCCCCCATATCAATAGTTTTTAAACTCTCAGGTGATTCCAATGTGCAGCTAAGGATGAGAGCCGCTGCTTGAGAGCTGCTAGCATGTCCACATAAGAAACTTATTATTAAGCCAGTGCTTCTCAGCCTTGGCTGCATGTTGGAGGTACCTGGCAAGCTTTAAAAAAATACTGATACCTAGATCCCACCTGCAAATATACTTACTTAATTGGCAGCTGTTTTGAAAGGCTACCCAGGTGATTCTAATATGCAGACAAGGTACAAAACCACTGCATTTGAGCACATACTTCCTCAAATTCTTCATTGAATGCATGAGCACTTGAGGCTGCCATAATTCTGAAAGTGGAAGACTTCTGCCCAGAGCTCTTTGTACTCAGGAATTTGCATTGCTAGAAGGTGAAAGAAGCTTACTCACTCCAACTTCTCCTATTTTTTTTTTTCACATAAAATGAAATTGGTGGAGGCAGGTGTTCAAGTGCGAAAAACAAGTATTTCTCAACCTCATGCATTCTGTCCCCCCCCACCCCATAATCATATTACATGAATGAGTTCCTCAAGTAGGCTGTCCCTGATGATTCGCTGGCCATTAAAAAGGCTCAAGAAGAGGCCAGGCATGGTGGCTCATGCCTGTAATCCCAGCACTTTGAGAGGCCAAGGTGGGCTGATCACCTGAGGTCAGAAGTTCAAGACCAGCCTGGCCAATATAATGAAACCCCGTCTCTACTGAAAAACAAAACAAAACAAAAAAAACCCTGGTATGGTGCTGGGTGCTCGTAGTTCCAGCTACTTGGGAGGCTGAGGCAGGAGAATCACTTGAACCCAGGAAGCAGAGGTTGCAGTGAGCCAAGATCGTACCACTGCACTCCAGCCTGGGTGACAGAGTGAGACTCTATCTCAAAAATAAAAAAATAAAAAAAAAAGGTGGGGGGCAGGGCTCAAGAAGAAACAAGGAGATGGGTGGGGAGGAGAGTCATCTACACCTGGTCTCAGGGAATTCCAGTACTTGTGGCTTGCTGGATGAAAAAGGACTGGATTGCTTTACTCATTATCTATAGGAGCAAGTAGCTTTTTGAAATACATTATTTTGCTCCTCAGGGCCATAACTATTAATAATTCTTCATAATCACAGCTAATAATCATTAATACGAACCCGAGGGCCAAAAAGCTACTGGTTACATTTAATTCAGAGAAAGTTAATAAACATTACTCTTTTCGGAAAGTACCCCAACGTGAAAAATTATAGTGATCATAATTTGCATTTAGAAGTATTTATTGAGTAGTAAGTTAGAGTCTACTTGGAAAGATGCAAATTCTATAATTTAGATGCTGTTTACAAATAGATGGAAACAGAAGGAGGTACATATTTGCTATAGTTTGAGTATGTCCCCCAAAAGTTCTTATGTTGGGAACTTAGTTGCCATTGTAACAGGATTAAGAGGCAAAGCCCCATCTCTACGAAAAATACAAAAATTACACAGAAGTGATGGCATGCACCTGTAGTCCCAGATGCTTGGGAGGCTGAGGTAGGAGGATTCACTAAACCTGGGAGGTTAAGGCTGCAGTGAGCCAAGATCACACCACTGCACTTCAACCTCAGTGAAGAATGAGACCTAGTCTCAAAAAAAAAAAAAAAAAAAAAAAAAAAGAAGTGTTTTAAAACTGGAAAGAGAAAAAAATAGCTACCTTTATGAGGTACGAAAGATTTTTCCAGATTTAGGTGATCTGCTCAACTATAGGAGTTTATGGAGTCTAATGGTACTAGCCTATTCACAAAAGCCAAGAATAGGATATGTATTTTCTTATGGTGATCGCTGACTGAGGTCTCGTTTTATCAACTAGCTATACTCCGCTGAGATTAGCTATTGTATTTTATTCTGTGAATTCCTCATAGCACTAAGTATTCACTGGGTTCTCAATAATCATGCTGGCTCACAATTCCATGTGGGAGATTGGTTAAAAGGGTATTTAAGGGTAAATGGGCAAAAGGAATTCTACTGTGGTAATGATGATATTCTAAAACTGGATTATGGTGATGTTTGTACAATTCAGTAAACTTAGTATCACTTAATTGTACAGTTAAAATGGGTACATTACCCCGTCTCTACTAAAAATACAAAAATTAGCATGGTGGCGCACGCCTGTAATTCCAGCTACTCAAGAGGCTGAGGCCGGAGAATCGCCTGAACCCGGGAGGCGGAGCTTGTAGTGAGCCGAGATGGCGCCATTGCACTCCAGTCTAGGCGACAGAGCGAGACTCGATCTCAAAAAAAAAAAAAAAAAAAAAAAGCGGGGGGTCGGCGGGACATTTTATAATATGTAAATTATAACAAGTAAAAAAGGGGGGATACGGAATGGAATGTGTTAACAATGGGATGGGATTCATGTGACTGAGAGGTTACTTATCCAGATTGTGTAACTCAGGGGTCTCTGATCCCCAGGCCGCAGGAACCCGGCTGCACAACAGCAGGTGAGCGGCGGGCAAGCCAGCATTACTGCCTGAGCCCCGCCCCCTGTCAAATTAGCGGTAGCATTAGATTCTCTAATAGGTTCTCTAATAGATACCTTAATTGTCAACCGCCCACGCTAAGGATCTAGGATCTAGGTTGCCGGCTCCTTATAAGAATCTAATGCCTGATAATCTGAGGTGGAACAGTTTCATCCCGAAACCATACCAGCCCCTGCCCCTGCCCGCGTCCCCACCCCCTCGCGCCCCCACCCCCTTCCCGCCCCCGCCGGTGGAAACATTGTCTTATACGAAACCAATCCCTGGGGCTGAAAAGTTTGGGACCACTGGTGTAACTGATGTGAAAAGGAAAAAGGATGAAAGACAATGGTTTCTTGTGAATGTATACGGAAAGGAGAAAGCTGTTATAGAGGTGGGGGAACAACTACTAAGTAAAAGCCCGTAACTGTTAACAGGGAGTGCTGTGTGTAGGGTGATGAACCAAGCAGAGGCGAACACAAAGATAAACTGCAGTACAACATGACGAACTCTATAGTGTGGAGCTTTGCATAGAGTATTAAAGGAAGAAACAAACACTCGAAAACATTGTGACTTGCCCAAGTTCACACAGGTAGAGACGTTCAAAGCAGAAATCAAACCAAGGTTATCTCACCCTTAAATTTGTACCCCAGGGCTGTATCATTAGCGTTAAGTCTGAAGAAATGCTAAGGCTGTGTTAAAGACTGCTACTTGTCTCCAATATCTGTTCTACCTTTTATTGTAGTAACACATTTGCTCCAAAGAATTTTTTAAAAAAAGACATTTTTGTTTGTTTTTGTTTTGAGACGGAGTCTCGCTTTGTCACCCAGGCTGGAGTACAGTGGTGTGATCTCCGCTCATTGCAACCTCCACCTTCCGGGCTCAAGTGATTTTCCCACCTCAGCCACCCGAGTAGCTGGAACTGCAAGCATGGGCCACCAAGCCTGGCTAATTTTTTTTTTTTTTTTTTTTTTTGAGACACGATCTCGCTCTGTCACCCAGGCTGAAGTGCAGTGGCCCTATCTCGGCTCACTGAAACCTCTGCCTCCCAGGTTCAAGCGATTCTCCTGCCTCAGCCTCCCGAATAGCTGGGATTACAAGCATGCGCCACCACGCCCAGCTAATTTTTGTATTTTATCGGTAGAGACGGGGTTTCACCATGTTGTCCTGGCCGGTCTCCAACTACTGACCTGAAGTGATCCGCCTGCCTCAGCCTCCCAAAGTGCTGGGATTACAGGCGTTAGCCACCACGCTGGCCACATTTTTGTATTCTTTGTAGAGACGGGGTTTTGCCATGTTGCCCAGGCTGGTCTCGAACTTCTGGGCTCAAGTGATCCACCCGTCTTTGCCTCCCAACGTGCTGAGACTACAACCCAGGCGTGAACCATTGAGCCTAGCCCACATCTCCTTCCTTAGGGACACATCCCGGAAGTTGTGAGCCTTATTTCCCCTCAGATCCCATTAGCCAGAACGGAGTCAAGTGATTCAATCTAGCTGCAAAGTGAGGGATGAAACTTAAAAAGGAAGGCCACATCTGGGCAGGTGGTGGCAACTTGGGTGGTAGACAGCTGTGGAGCCACCATGCCAGCACTGAGCTGTCTGCATCTGGACTTTTATGAGAGAGAAAAAAACTTTCTTCATGTTTAAGTCACTTGATTTGGGATCTCAATTTCCCACAACAGAACCTAAATTCTAATTATTAAAAATAATAATTCTCTCTGGGACAAAAATAAGCATATAGATATATGTTGCCCTTGTGACCCAAACAGACATACTTTGATGAGAAGCAGTGTTGTCAGAGTTATCACACTAGTTGACGGCTCTCTCACTTTGAGTAACTCTCACCTTTAAAGGCTGAGAAAGAAGAGTGAACAGGTACAGCCAATGAGAAAAAAGAAAAAGCAGAAGAACAGTTTCAGGGATCCCAACGGGAAAAGTCTGGCATCTGAGAAGTCAGGTTAGATACCCAAGATTTAAAATTCCTATTAGACTGACTGACATGAAGCTCATCAGTTACCTTTAATAAGTTATTTTGCTACAAAATTGAATGTTAATTCTTCTAATGTATGCTGTGCAATTCAGTCATTCTCTTTGGCAAGGTTTCTTGTCTTTGTTTATCTTGTCTATTTCATGCTCTTTACCATTTCAAACCTACCTTAAGCTAGTTTTTTAAAGGAAATTTATTTGGAAATTTATGAGATCCAAGAAATCAAGAAATAACAAGAGACACAAATACTTTTAAATCAAAGAAAATTTGCAAATCAGAAAAGTTCCCTTTCTTCTTTTCTGGTCCTGAAAAATAAGACATTTATTCATTCACTCAGTGAACATCTATTGAAAACCTACTGTGTGCTAGGCATTATGCTTGGGACTGGGGATAAAAAAGTTACAAAGTTAGAGCTGTCCCTACCCTCATTATACTTAGGGTCAAGCAGGGAGGCAACCAAATATAAAGAAAGTATCAATGGTGTGACAAGGCCTAGCATGGTAGCTCATGCGTGTAGTCCCAACATTTTGGGAGGATGAATAGGAAGATTGCCTGAGGCCAGGAGTTAGAGACCAGCCTGGCCAACACAGTGAGATCCCACCTCTAAAAAAAAAAAGTGTTGATAAAGGATATGGTAGAAGGAGTTAAGAGTTTCATGTGAGCACACAGAAATTACACTTAATCCAGACCTAGGGGATCAGAGAAGGTTTCTGAGGAGAGTTTAAGTATGAGCAGCAGTTAGCCAATTGAGGATGAACAGGGATAAGAGGGATGAAGAGGAGCATTCTAAATAGAAGCAACAGAATATGCAATGACCCAGAATACAAGAAGATCATAATGGCTTTAAAAAGCAAAAATAAATTGTGTGTGTGCATGTGCTATGTTGTGGACTATGAAAAGGAAGAGATGAAGCTGGAAGGTAGACAAGGTTCAGTTTATGCAGATCCTTGTAAATATCATAAGAGCTCACAGAACTGTGAGAAACATGCTGAGTTCTATGGAGGAAAACAACATGAAATTTTATTTTTAGCAAAATCATTCTGGCTGTAGTATGTAAAATATATAAGGGGAGCCCTTATAAGGGTCTATGTTGTAGAACATCTAAGGGGGGGCCCCAAAAAGAAGCAAGGAGACCACTGGAAGCTTCCTCCTGGCATCCCATAAAGTTATGATGGATATGGGTAAGAGATGATGATGTCCAATATGGTGTCCACTAGCAACAAATATCTATTAAAACGTGACTAATTCAAATCAAAGATGTAAAATATCTCACTAATATTTTTTAGACATGTTAAAATGACTACATATGTTAAAAATATATTTTATGTTATATAAAATTATATATGTTAAAATATATACATATAGTTTATATATATTTAGATATATGTGTATATATAATATATATACGTTAAAATATACATGTATTTTATGATGTTAAAATGACTACAGTCATTTTATAGTCATTTTAACATGTATATGTTATTATATATACATGCATATATACATACAATAATTTATATATATATATATATGTATTTTTTTTTTTTTTGAGACAGAGTCTTGTTCTGTCACCCAGTCTGGAGTACAATGGCTTTGTCTTGGCTCACTGCAACCTCTGTCTCCTGGGTTCAAGCGATTCTCCTGCCACAGCCTCCCGAGTAACTGGGATTACAGGCGTGCACCACCATATCCAGCTCATTTTTCTATTTTTAGTAGAGACGGGGTTTCACCATGTTGGCCAGGCTAGTCTCAAACTCCTGACCTCAGGTGATCCGCCCACCTCAGCCTCTTGCAGTGCTGGGATTACAGGTATGTGCCACCATGCCTGGCCTAAAATGACAATATTTTAAAAATATTTTTATTGTGGTAAAATATACATAATGTAAAATTTATCATTGTAAACATTTTTAAGTGTGCAGTTCAGTGATATTAAGTACATTGATATTGTTGTGCAACCATCACCACCATCCATCTCCAGAACTCAGAACTCTTTTCATCTTGTAAAACTGAAAATCTATACCCATTACACAATAACTCCCAATTTTCCCCTTCCTTCAGCCCCTGACAACTACCATTCTACTTTCTGTGTCTATGCATTTGATTACTCTAGGTACCTCATATAAGTGGAATCAACAGTATTTGTCTTTTCATGACTAGCTTATTTCGTTTAGCATAATGCCCTCAAATTTCATCCATATTGTAGCATGTAAAATGACAATATGTTTGACATATTGGATTAAATAAAATATATTGTTAAAATTAATCTTAGTGTTTCTTTTTACTTTTTGTGGCTCCTAAAAAATTAAAATATTTTACGTAAATGTATTTCTGGTATTTTCCATTAAAAAAGAAAGCAATTTACATATGTGATTCACTATATATATATATATGATTTTTATTTTTTTGAGACAGAGTCTTGCTCCATCATCCAGGCTGGAGTGCAGTGATGTGATCTCAGCTCACTGGAACCTCTGCCGTCTGGGTTCGAGTGATTCTTCTGCCTCAGCCTCCTAAGTAGCTAGGATTACAGGCACACACCACCATGCCCAGATAATTTTTGTATTTTTAGTACAGATGGAGTTTCACCACGTTGGCCAGGCTGGTCTCGAACTCCTGACCTCAAGTGATCCACCCACCTCAGCCTCCCAAAGTGCTAGGATTACAGGCATGAGCCGCTGTGCCTGGCCCTCACATTATATTTTTATTGGACAGCACAGATTTAGAGCCTTTGCATTAGAAAATAGAGAAAAATGCATGAATAAAGAGATACTGAGGCGATGGATTTGATAGAGCTTGTTTATCAGTTGCATATAAAAGATAAAAAAGAGGGAAGAATAAATAATGATTCCTAAGCCGCTAACTTGAGCAACTAAATAAAAGGATAATAGATTCTGGAAAGCTTGAAGAAAGAAAGGTTTTTTTTATTGTTTTCTTTTTATTTTAAGACAGAAGAGGATTCAGTATGTTTAAAAGAAAATATGAAGGAATCAGAGAGAGGAAGACAATAAAGATATGTGAAAAGTACTTTGTCTCCCTTAAGCAGGAGGGAGACACACCTATCTCAATGTAGAAAAAGAAAAGCAGGAGCAGATGGGTTCTGGTATACAGTTAATTTTACAGATTTATAAATAGTAAATTGAAACTTTCCCCCCAAAAAAAGGCTTCTGGCTGGGCACAGTGGCTTACGCCTTTAATCCCAACACTTTGGGAGGCCGAGGCAGGTGGATCACCTGAGGTCAGGAGTTTGAAACCAGCCTGGCCAACATTGTGAAACCCCATCCCTACTAAAAATACAAAAGTTACTCAAGTGTGGTGGTGCATGTCTGTAGTCCCACCTACTTGGGAGGCTGAGGCAGGAGAATTGCTTAAACCCAGGAGGCGGAGGTTGCTGGGAGCTGAGATTGTGCCACTGCACTCCAGCCTGGGCAACAGAGCAAGACTCTGTTTCAAAAAAAAAAAAATGCTTACTGGCCTTAAGGTCAGCTTATTGTGTTGAAAGACCTCAAGAAAGTGGAAAAACTCTAAAGACTGTAAGGGTTTCCAGGCAGCACTGAGACTCCATGAGGCTCGAGGGAGGACTGTGGAGAACCACCAGCCCTGGAAGTAGGCACAGAGGAAGGAGATCACCAGGTTGCCTGGGCAGAGATTCTTTTAGGTGTTTGTGGAAAAAGGACAATGGTGCCAGGAAGTTTGGGAATTGACAAGAGTATTAATTAAGAGAAGAACATAGAATCTAAGAGTTTCTTGAAAAATGGGTTGGCCAGATGCTTGGAGAATTCCTTGAAGTCATATTAGAGAGCTGCGGCCAGTGGAATATTTAGAATAAATATTTCAAAGATGGGGAAGCTCAGGGCGATGACGTGGTCCAGAGTGGATACCTAAAGTGGAATGGAGGTGAAGGTTAATAAAGATGAGATCAAGGAATTGAGAGGCCTGTGATATTGAGAAGGACCTTTAATTCACCTCATGAGAATGGAGAGATCTGAGTGGAGCAGGCAGTGAGCCAGATGCCTATATCTTCAAGAAATTGGGGAAGAGGTTGGTGACAGGAGGAAAGTAGATTTACAGCACAGTAGTTTTCCAGTAAATGTTAGTTTTATTTAACAGTTCACATACACATACAGATACAATATGTCTCTCTCTGTCTCTCAATATATACACACACACACTCACATATGCTCTTCCCTACTGACATACAAGAATCCAGTTTTTTACACAAGCATGTCACAGAGAATTTGGGGTAAATGTGTCAAATTGTGCCTTTTCTTTTTGTGTTGCAGATAGAAAAAAAAAGATGTGCAATTTGTTAGCACCATGAACGACAGAACTTCACAAAGTGCTCAAACAATAGTTTCTAAAGGTTAGGGGCAGGCCATGCTGGTACATGCTGAAAAAGCATTTTTAAAGGCAGATTTTTATAGCGAAGAGTGCTGAACTATGTGTCGGAAGAACTGGTTTCCAAACCAATTGTTCAATTATCACTTGGGTGTTTTGAGGCAAAACAGTTAACCTTGGTGAATCCATCTTCCCATCTGTAGAAGATGGGTGGTTTTTACAGCTCTTACAACTCTACAAGGTCTTTGTGAAGATTCAGTAAGAAAATGTTCACAAAATTTATTTGCAGTCGGTTAAGTGCTCGTATTAATTATTATCTGAGGAGACTCCTGACCTGGCGCTAGTGAAATTTTTTTCATCATGGTTCCTATTATCCTGGTAATATTCACATTCATAATGGAAAAAATGAGAATTAGAGCAAATTATGATTTCTGAAGGATTTTTTAAAAATTGATTATTCTACACTTTCGTGGAGTTTCTTTAGTTGCTTTAGGGGACATACCAAAATAAATCATCTCTTTTTTATTTCCTTAAAAGTGTGGATAATCTCATTAGAATCACCAGAGATGTTTGTTTAAAATATAGTTGCCTGTACCCAGTGACTAGAGATTCTGTCCTTTGAACTGAGACTCAAGAACCTGTATTTTAAACAAGCATCCTAGTTGACTACACACACTAAAAAAAATTTTATAACATTGTTGAGATAGAATTCACATACTATGCAATTCACCCATTTAAAGTATAAAATTCAGTGGTTTTTAGTATACCCACAAAGTTCTGCAATCATCACCATAACATTTGAAATCTACTGGTTTAGTAAAAGTTTTATGGAGGCTGAGGTTGCTCTACGATCACTGCATAAAGAATTTCCTACCTCAACCCCAAGTATAAATGTAGATAGAAGACAAAACCTTGCAAGCCATGCAGCTCATCTGTTTCCTAAGCACTGGTGGCCTTTTTCTAAACAAATTTTCTTCATTTTACAAAAGGGTTAGGAAGTACTGTAGAGAGAATATAAGTGCCACATGGCCAGAAGAGTGTGAGATTTTCTTCCTCCCTAAAAATCTGGCAAGGCTTACCCTTCTCTTGCCAGCCAATGGATCAGAAAGAGTTTGTAAAAGGAAAGAATCATGATTAGGCTAATGTTCCTTTGCTCCTCCTAAGGCCTATTTTTTAATCTAAAGGTCTTTTTCTCTTCTTAAGAATTCAGGATCAATGCAATTTCATAATAGCTTTGGACAGAGCATGTCTTTTGACAGCTTATCGACATTTTAGTTTGTCAGCTTCCGGAAATCCATTGTTGACTCAAGTTCCACCTCTGTTTAATTAGAGGGGGAACACTTTTAAACAAAAACACTTACTTTTTTCCCCATAAATGGTAAGATGTGAGCCAGAAACAGCCAAAGCTTTAGAAAGAGTCACAACTATTTAGGTTGATGTTTTAGATATTTTACAAAGTGCTTTTCTTACTTTCATGGGGAGAAAAATGTTTTGGAGAGAGCATGTTGGGAAAACTAGACAAGTTTCTTTTCTAGTTTTTTATTTTATAGTGATGAGGTTTCACCATGCTGTCCAGGCTGGTCTTGAACTCCTGGGCTCAAGTGCTCCTCCCAAAGTGGTGGGATTACAGGAGTGAGCCACTACACCCAGCCCTTTTCTAGTTTTCAAAGAGAGGGTTTCTTATTTTGTTTACAGTGTGGTAAATTTCTCAAGCACTGTATTCATTTGTGAGTATAATTTCTATAAGTATATATGTTAGTATTGTGGTTGTGTCTGATACAGACACACACACACACACACCTCTAGGCTCCTCGTCTACTGGAACTAATAGCCAATCTAGAAAATATCACCATCTGAGTTTGGTTACAAGGGAGGGTTAAAAAAAAGCTCCATAAACTCTTATAGACAGTTTGGACCAATCCTTCCTTTCTACAGATGAGAAAACTAAGGCCCAGAGAGGTTTGGTAACCTTAAAATAGAACACACTTCCCTGCCTGACTTAGAGTACGTGGTCACACCTTTAGACAAAGTTATCTTTGATTAAAATTAATTACTGAATTAAATATGATTTTCAGGGAGAGACACTAAAGCTACAACAAAGTTACTCCTTTGTTAATGGATAGGGATTATATTTTCAAGACCATAACATTAAATGAAAGCAGAGTGCAACTTATATTTTAAAACCGGTTCTTTTCCATGATGCAAAAATAAAAGTACAGTATAAGTTATGTTTTAAAGTTGGTTATTTTTCCCTGCTGTACAAAAGGATTGTCAATTCAGTATACAGCTCAAACTATCTGTTATTGGTTTCCAAATTCCAGAGAGCTCTGTCTGACATTGTTCAAACTGCTAGTAATATAACCACATATAGATCCTATGTTGGTTTAGAGCACATGCCCCCACAACATTACCCTTGTTTATATGTCTTAAAGCAGCCCCTAGTTCCAGGAAATACTTTGTCATCATGCACTTGACAATTTTTGGTTGCCATCAACCACGTCACAAACTTAACACTCAGCTTTCCCAGTCAGTCTTTCCAGGGACCCAACTCACCTCTTTCTGTTTGGGTTTCCATGCTGACATTTAGAAAAACAACAGTCACTCGACTCATAAAGCCCTTTCTCTATGTTCCGTACTAATTTTAATATTGACTTTCTCCTAAAAGCTCCAAAATATTTTAAGGAATTTTTTTCCATTTTTGCAAGATTGAGCTTCCAAGCTTGTATTTTTTAAGTGCTTCCAATTTTTTTTCTTAACATATGTTGCACGAAGTCTGTCCTATTAACAGAACCTACTCCTTTTCCAAATAGTATGAAAATCCAAAGATTTAGCCTTTCAGAGAGCATTTCTAGGTTGTACAATTAATTTGAGCTTTGTGTTTAGCTCAAATGATTTTGTTTAGATTAGGTTCTCCCATGTCTCTTATTTGAATTTTGAATTCAAATCCATTTCTGGAACATCCAATTTAGTGTGTATCTGGGTGGTGACACATTTCTTTGTACTCATGAGGACAGTAAAAGATTTTTAAAAAAATGAACACAGCAGTATAACATTTGATTCTTGCATTTTTTTAGCAGTTCTCCTTTGCTTCCCCCTCCCAGTCAGGAAACTCTATTTAAAATCATAGGATTTGATAAATGTGTGTAGCAAATTAAGAATTTTAATTTGCTACATTACTGTATGTAATTAAGCACTTCGATGCTGGAATCAGACTGCCTGGGATTGGATCTTGGTTATGCTACTTCCTACCTGTGCAACCTTGAGAAAGTTATTTTTTTCTTTGTGCCTCAGTTTTTAAATAGAAATAACAAAAGGTAAACGGAGACTGAGTAGTAAATATATACAAATCACTTAGAATAATAGTACCTGATACATAGAAATAATAAATATTAGCTATTTCTAAACTGCATTAAACAGACTATATAGATCAGTTACCAGGAATATATAGATATCATAGAGCTTAGAAGCTTACATACATGAGATCCCCAGGATAAATAGGTAGGATAATTTTGAAGGAATTTGAGATAAGTGCCTTATTTTTTTTTACTTATTGCCTTGAATTTTTACTATATTTTATTGTTTTATTTATTTTATTTGTTGGCTTGAAGAATTTTACTTCTTGCCTTGAATTTCAATTTGCATCATAAAGAAATAATTCTACAGTAGGAGGTATTTAAAGGTTCTTCGGTGGCTGATATTTGTGATGATATATAGTTTTGATATTCATGTCATGATGGTTTTGGGATTTGAATGAAAACTTTTCTGAATGATTTTGACTAATCTGAGCCATCATGATCCTGGAATTCTATCAGAAAAAACTACCAGAAAATACTGGAATAGTTTGCCAGTGAACAATGTGAGAGAGAGCAAGAGTATTGCTTCTACTCACCATTAAGACCATTCATCAACTCTAACCAGATCTGTCACAGACAAGTGGCAAGGCCAGAAGCTGAAACATACATCCAGAGTTAAACTCAAGATAATGAATTCTTGATTTACCTTGTTGTGATGAGGTAAAGAAGTTCCATTCTACTGGCCATGACCCAGCAATAATAACAAGAGAAGCTTCTGCTTATGAGTGCACTTGACAGTTGTTGAAATATTTAACTTACTGACAGGACTTCACCTGTTCATTAAAGGAATGGTCAGGCGCATAATTTTAAAATTCTCCATTGCAGAATGAAGATTAAATAGATTTAATTTAAATGGGAGTAAACTATAGTGCAATTTACTATGCAGATATATATATGTGTATATATATATCTGAGGCTATGGAGATAATAGTGATGTCCCTAATAATTTCAGAGCCTATTTCAGTCAGTACTGCGACTCCCTTGGGCTATATATGAGACCAAATTCCTTATGTTCTGTGCAAAAATTTAGCAATGAATTGTTTGCTGTGCTATGTTATTATCTAGTCCTGCCATCTAGGTAAATCTCTTCCTGGGCAGGTTTCAGAACTTGCATTCCTTTCTCATCTCCTGCAACATTTTCACTGTGTTCACTGTTGATTCAACTGCACTACAGCTTCACAACAGGGATCCTCTCCCTGACCTCAAACTCTCAAGATTTTGTCAAATAATGCTGTTGACAGTACCATTCCTCAATTAATCTGCATGGGTGCTGTGGCCAACAGGTCTCCCAAAGGCAAATATCCTGTGTATGTTCAATTCCAACCCATTGCCTCCAGCTGGGAAGTTCATAATTAGAGCCAGAGGTTAAACTGCCTGATACAGGAGGCCCAGAGGAGCGTAGAGTGATGGGGGTTGGGTTGTTGTTACTCCTTTCTTAAATACAGGTTTGTTATAAATACACACCACCCACATTTTGCCCCCACTCAGCTCCTTGCAAGTTTATTGTTGGGCTTGGCTTTTCAAATATAGAAATGAATAATATCTGGCCCTACAACAATGACACCCTGAGACAACAGGGTTAGAAATACACAAAACGATGCTTGTAATTTGAATAGAGACTTTCTCTAAAGTGAAAAAGTAAAGTGAAAAATTAAAATGGTAATTAAATCTACGAAAGTTTTTTTTTTTGCCTCCAAAATGACCAAGTCAGACTATAACAATGTACACTCTGTAATAAAAGCTAAAGCTGTACATATATGTCAGCTCCTACAAAGAGGGTAAACACTAGCCTTTATGGCTTTGATATTCTGAAATAGGAAGGTGAAAGTAGTTATATAGATTTACATAGATTTTAAAGTAAGAAATTTCCAGACAATTAAGTTATCCTGCTTATTACAGACTTTTAATTTATAATCCCAGTTGTGGATCCACAGAAAATCTGACTTAAAACTTAAGACAGCTTTTAATTAGGACAGATTATTAAGCAGCACTATATTTGATTCCAAGAGCTCTTGATTGTAACATTATTCCTTATTTTACCCTAATCTCAGAAATGTGTCAATACATATATCTGTTAGAGCAATTTTGCTGTTATTTTTAGACTATTAATAGCATCGAGCTCAAATTGTCTACATTTATGATTTCAAGACCTACAAGATAAAAGAAAAAAAGCCTCAGAAACATACAAAACAGGCTGTTAGGAACAAAAATCAAACTGGCCTCACAGTTCTACACAATACCTTCCCAAGACAATGGAGAAACATCTAAAGACCTCGAGAAAAAACTTTAAAAAATGTATAGTTGGACAAACAGTCTTTCTTTCAGGTAGAAGGGCAAAAAGAAAACACTCTTAGATAAGCATTGTCTGAGAAAATAGTACATCCTGGAGTTATAATCTGGATAACTCAGAGGTGATTAAAAATTAGAATTCAAAAATGCAGAAGTAGTGATATGAAAGAACTTGCATAGCATTTCTCATTTAGTCTGAACCCCCTTGTTAATCCAGTTGAAAACGTGATAGATGAATTCTGCAGCTTTGAAAAATTCTTAATCTGCAATGCTTCCCTAATCTGTTCTTTCTTCTTCTTCTTCTTTTTTTTTTTTTTTTTTTTTTTTTTGAGATGGAGTCTTGCTCTGTCACCAGGCTGGAGTGCAGTGGCACGATCTCAGCACACTGCAACCTCCACCTTCCGGGTTCAAGCAATTCTCCTGCCTCAGCCTCCCGAGTAACTGGGACTACAGGCGTGTGCCACTGCGCCCAGCTAATTTTTTGTATTTTTAGTACAGATGGGGTTTCACCACGTTGGCCAGGATGGTTGATGGTCTTGATCTCCTGACCTTGTGATCCACCTGCCTCGACCTCCCAAAGTGCTGGGATTACAGGCATGAGCCACTGTGCCTAGCCTCTTCTTTCTTATTTTTTACTTTACTTGTTTACTTTTGCAATTAGCTAAACATATATGTTGGTGTTTGCAAATCTGTACCTCTCAATTTACATGGAAACTCTCTCCGGGTTTAGTGACAACCGAAAATAATGTCTGTTGTTCTCTGGTTTTATCACTGTTAAAAAATGATAAACAACTTCTGGTTAATGATCACATTAGTTCATCTCTGATCCAGAAATACCAGTAAAATAAAAATAAAGGAATAAAGTATAAAACCACTAAGGGGAAATATAATGTGAGAATAAATTATAGGAGGGGTCTAATTTGTGGAAAGATGGAAAACAGATGGATGAATCCTAGAAGGTTCAGGCTCACCACGAATCTAAAAAGGCGGGAGTGTTGGCTGGAATTGAAAATGGAAGGATTATTCAAATGTCTAAATGTCTGAAAAGGGAGCTGTTAGCCTCCAGCATCCTCTTATCCCACACCACCCAGCCCAGCAACTACCCATACAGCATGAGTACCCCTCATGCCAACCCTTGGGAACTATCAGATCACCTTCTAAAGCAGATTTCAAGCTTCTGGCTGGATTTCTTTTTATCTCTGGAAAGAGCCAAATTCATTTTCTAGATAAATTAAACCATAGAGAATCCACACTTGGGGAAACAACACACATCAGAGAAATGGAAGTGAGCCCCCACAGAAAACAGGGAATGTGTGAAATTCCCACAAAATATTGAAACATCTCAGCTCTATACCCTGCTCTGCTCCTAGAAGACATCATCAGACAGGAGATTTTACTGTGTGTTAGGCAGAAGGGTAACCCCTTAAAGATGTCCACATCCTAATCCCCCAAACCTGTGAATGCGTTATGTTACATGGCAAGGGGCAGTCAGGGTTGTAGAAGAAATTAAGTTTGCTAATCAGCTGATGTAAAAATAAGAAGATTATCCTGGATTATCTAAGTGACTCAATGTAGTCATAGAGACTCTTAAATGTGGAAGAAGGAGGCAGAAATGTTAGTGTCAGAGGAATGAGATGTGAGAAAGACTCCACAGCCATTGCTGGCTTTGAAACTGGAGGGAGCCATGAGTGAAAGAATGTGGTCAGCCTCTGACCACTAGAAAAGCAAGAAAACAGATTCTCCTGTAGACTCTCTACAAAGGAAACAGAGTCATGCCCACACTTTCATTTTAGCCCAGTGAGACCCATTGTTGGACTTGAACTATGCAACTGTAAGATACAGTTGTGTTGGTTTAAACCACTAACTTTGTGGTAATTTGTTATAGAAAACTAGTACAAAAAGACTGACTGAAATAAAAGGCCAGCAAATACTGAGACTGCACAACCAGGTGCCTTTCCTTTCACCCTACAGTAGTAAAGCCTCAAGTCAGCAAACCTCCCTCTCACTTCAAACTCCCTCCCCCGCCTCCCCTTTCCATGAGTGTGCTCATGCACACATAGCCTCTAATCAGCATCCAGAGCTTCTATCTTGAATGTGAACAGACTGCCAAATAGCCCAGGAATGTGAGTGAAACCTCCAAAATAGAAACTAGAAAAAAAAGATTTAAAAAGAGATAAGATTGAATGCAGAAGAAACAAAAATGGCAGGGTAGGGGGAGTTAAATTTAAGTTAAATTTAGTTTAAAAGAAAATTGTGTTTTAAAAAACCTATAATTAATATAATCAGAAATCTAAGAGAGATATCTGTAAATCAAGAACAATATGCTATTGAAGAAAAAGAAGTGGAGAGGAAAAGGGAAAAAAATAAGTCTCTAGAAATTAAAAAATATGTCAGCAGAAATTTTAAAAATTAATAGAATGTTTGGAATATGACGTTGGGGAAATCACCCAGAAAAAATACTAGCATAGGCAAAAAGGCCAGCCACAGGAGAGGAAAAATAAGATAATCAATTATGCTAACAAAAGAGGTTAAAAATCAGATCAATAAGACTTCCAGAGTAGAGGAAGAAAAAATGGATAGGAAAAATGATGAAAGAAATAATATAAGAAAATATTGTTACCAAAGAACACATTCTCACGAGTTCTTGGTACAATGGATAAAAAGAGACCGACATCAAAGCATATGATAACATTTTAGAACACCTGTGATAAAGGTAAGTGGAAGCAGACATCATATTCGAAGAATATATCCAAACTCAGGATGCCAGAAGAGTGAAAAAATGTTTTTAATGATCCAAGAGAAAATAATGTTTAGCCTTGAATTATTTACCCACCCACACTATCAACTGAGTGTAAGTAAAAATTGAAAAATTGATCAGACAAGGAACTTCTCAAGAAAAAAGAAAGCCCTCCAATGTATGATTTGTTTTACAAAAGTGAAGGAGTACACCACAAAAGGAGAAGTCTTAGGTCTAGAAAATAGTCAACATAGAGTGTTGCAAGGGGAATTCCCAAGACAATAGCTATGCAGAAGGTCTAGAAAGTAGTTGGTCTTTGATACTGCAATGATGGGGTTGAAGAGATATCACTAAAAAAAAAAAAAAAAAAAAAAAAAAAAAAATCAACCAAACCAAAAAGAAATAGGAACTTGATATATTTGACTCTATTGATACATTTCTCCTGTCAGTGGGGTAGTTGATTTTAAACTATCAATGTAAAGATTTTTGTAGGAATTCTGAACATCAGCTTTGGGAACTAATTTATGACTAAGTCCTCAAAAGCAATTGCAATGAAACAAAAATTGACAAGTGGGACCTAACTGAATTAAAGAGCTTCTGCACAGCAAGAAAAAGGAAAAAACTATCAACAGAGTAAACAGACAATCTACAGAATGGAAGAAACTATTCAGAAACTATGCATCCAGTAAAGGTCTAATATCCAGAATCTATAGGCAACTTAATTGAACAAACAAAAAACAAATAATCCCACTAAAAAATGGGCAAAGAATATGAACAGGCACTTATCAAAAGAAGACAATACAAATGGACAACACACATTTGAAAAAATGCTCAACATGCCTAATCATTAGAGAAATGCAAATCAAACCCACAGTAAGATACCATCTCATACCAGTCAGAATGGTTGTTATTAAAATGTCAAAGAAACAGCAGATGCTGTTGAGGTTGTGAATAAAAGGGAATGCTTATACACTGTTGGTGGGAATGTGAATTAGTTCAGCCACTGTGGAAAGCAGTTTGGAGATTTCCCAAAGAACTGAGAACTACCATTTGACTTAGCAATCCCCTTACTGTGTATATATCCAAAAGAAAATAAATTGTTCTACCAAAAAGACACATGCACTTGTATGGTCATGGAAGCACTATTCACAAAAGCAAAGACATGGAATCAACTTAGCTGCTCATCGACAGTGGATTGAATAAAAAAAAGTGGGTACATATATACCATGGAATACTACACAGCCATAAACAAGAATGAAATCATGTCCCTTGCAGCAACATAAATGCCCCTGGAGGTGATTATCGTAGGTGAATTAACACAGGAACAAAAAACCAAATACTGCATGTTGTCACCTGTAAGTGGGAGCTAAACACTGGATACTCATGAACATAAAAATGGCTACAGGGGGGACTATTGGAGCAGGGAGGGAGGCAAGGGGGCAAGAGTTGAAAAACTATTGGGTACTATGCTCAGTACCTGGGTGATGGGATCATTCACACCCCAAACCTTAATGTCACACAATATACCCAGATAGCAAACTTGCACATGTACCCTGTGAATCTAAAATAAAAGTTGAAATTATTTTGAAAAAAGATTTTTGGAGGGTGAATAATATTAGATATAAAGAAAGTAAAGCAAACATAACTATAATAACCACAAGAATAAACAATAATTAGCTCAGGAAATCAAAGTCATAGAAGAAAGGAAATGTAAATCATAATAAATTACATATTCATTTATAAATAATATTTATGTGGTAAGTTGTAGCAATATAAACAAATTTGTATTCATTTAACCAAAAATTGGGGGTAGAAGAATGCTAGATCTTTATCTTTTAGATTTAGGATGCGAAAAGTAAAGTCTCAAATCAGTACCTCTATAAATGGCATTAAAATGGTCAAGAGCTATGACAGTAGTCTTTTTTCTTTTTTGAGAGAGGGTCTCACTCTTTTGCCCAGGCTAAAGTACAGTGGCATGATTCATAGCTCACTGCAGCCTCCACCTCCCAGGCACAAGTGATCCTTCCACCTCAGCCTCCTGAGTAGTTGGGACTACAGGTATGGGCCATCACACCCATCTAAGACAGTAGAGTCTAGAAGAGATAGCTAAAAGAATGGAAAGTGTTTATCTCTGGGAAAATGAACTAAGAACTACTAGGAGAGGTAGAATGGAGGACTTCTGTGTTTGGATTTGTTTTTTAAAATTGTATCGTCTCTTAGTTTATTCGGGCTGCTATAATAGAGTACCATAAACTGGATGGCTTATAAATGACAGAAATGTATTTCTCATAGTTTTGGAGGCTGAGAAGTCCAAGATCAAGGCCACAGCAGATTCAGTGTCTGGCGAGGGCCTGTTTTCTGGTTCACAGACCAGCACCACCAGTTGTATCCTCATAGGTGGAAGGGGCAATGAGCTCCCAAGGGCCTCTTTTATAAGGAGACTAATATCATCCATGAGACCTCCACTCTCATGACCCAATCCCTTCCAAAGCCTCCACTCCCTAATATTATCACCTTGTAGGGTAGGATTTCACCATATAAATTTAGAGGACACAAACATTTAGGGCATAACATATGCATGTACTACTTTGATAAAATTCTAAAATAAAGGCTAAACTATTTACAAATTTGTGAGCCACGCTCAAAGAATTATTATAGTCTCTTTCTTCCATTCTAGAAAATAGATCTATATACAGCAATATAGTGATCATTTTTTATTGCTAAGAAACTTGAATTATAAGTTCCCACATCTTTAAAGTTCATATTGATTAACTGAGTCATTTTTTTAATTGGGAAAGACTAATAAACCATCCAGTGGTAGATACTACCTGTCATCTAAGACAAATGAAAGTTTGTTAATTATGCTTAAAACACAAGTATAAATAACTTTACCTCAACTACATAAAACAAATATTTGATGCATACTAAAAAACAGAGATATCTCAACAAGATTTCTATTTTCCTTCCCTCCCTCATTTCTTCTTTTCTTCCTCCCTCCCTCTTTCCCTTTCTCATTTCCTTTCTTTTTTGTTTCACATGTCTAAATTTTCCTATTTTTAAAACTTGAATGGATATTTCCCTTATAATAAAGAAACATCTATTAGTTTAAAACACGATTTAAAATAAAATATAGGAGGGAGTGGTTCCAAGATGGCCGAATAGGAGCAGCTCCAGTCTACAGCTCCCAGCATGAGCGATGCAGAAGATGTGTGATTTCTGCATTTCCAACTGAGGTACCGGGTTCATCTCACTGGGGCTTGTCGGACAGTGGGTGCAGCCCATGGAGTGTGAGCTGAAGCAGGGCGGGGCATTGCCTCACCCGAGAAGCACAAGGGGTCAGGTAATTCCCTTTCCTAGCCAAGGGAAGCCGTGACAGACAGTACCTCGCAAATTGGGACACCCCCACCCTAATACTGCACTTTTCCAATGGTCTTAGCAAATGGCACACCAAGAGATTATATCCTGTGCCTAACTCAGAGGGTCCCACGTCCACAGAACCTCACTCACTGCTAGCACAGCAGTCTGAGATTGAACTGCAAGGCAGCAGTGAGGCTGGGGTAGGGGCGTCTGCCATTGCTGAGGCTTGAGTAGGTAAACAAAGCCGCCAGGAAGCTCGAACTGGGTGGAGTCCACCGCACCTCAAGGAGGCCTGCCTGCCTCTGTAGACTCCACCTCTGCGGGCAGGGCATAGCTGAACAAAAGACAGTAGAAACTTCTGCAGACTTAAACGTCCCTGTCTGACAGCTTTGAAGAGAGTAGTGGTTCTCCCAGCATGGAGTTTGAGATCTGAGAATGGACAGACTGCCTCCTCAAGTGGATCCCTGACCCCCGAGTAGCCTAACTGGGAGACATCTCCCAGTAGGGGCCAACTGACACCTCATACAGCTGGGTGCCCCTCTGAGACAAAGCTTCCAGAGGAAGGATCAGGCAGCAACATTTGCCATTCTGCAATATTTGCTGTTCTGTAGCCTCCACTTGTGATAACCCAGGCAAACAGGGTCTGGAGTGGACCTCCAGCAAACTCCAACAGAGATGCAGCTGATGGTCCTGACTGTTAGAAGGAAAACTAACAAACAGAAAGGACATCCACACCAAAAACCCATCTGTACATCACCATCATCAAAGACCAAAGGTAGATAAAACCACAAAGATGGGGAGAAACCAGAGCAGAAAAGCTGAAAATTCTAAAAATCAGACTGCCTCTTCTCCTCCAAAGGAATGCAGCTCCTTGCCAGCAATGGAACAAAGCTGGATGGAGAATGACTTTGATGAGTTGAGAGAAGAAGGCTTCAGACGATCGGTAACAACAAACTTCTCCAAGCTAAAGGAGGATGTTCGAACCCATCGCAAAGAAGCTAAAAACCTTGAAAAAAGATTAGACGAATGGCTAACTATAATAAACAGTGTAGAGAAGACCTTAAATGACCTGATGGAGCTGAAAACCATGGCACAAGAACTATGTGACGCATGCACAAGCTTCAGTAGCTGATTCGATCAAGTGGAAGAAATGGTATCAGTGATTGAAGATCAAATGAATGAAATGAAGCGAGAATAGAAGTTTAGAGAAAAAAGAATAAAAAGAAATGAACAAAGCCTCCAAGAAATATGGGACCATGTGAAAAGACCAAATCTATGTCTGATTGGTGTACCTGAAAGTGACGGGGAGAATGGACCCAAGTTGGAAAACACTCTGCAGGATATTATCCAGGAGAACTTCCCCAACTTAGCAAGGCAGGCCAACATTCAAATTCAGGAAATACAGAGAACACCACAAAGATACTCCACAAGAAGAGCAACTCCAAGACACATAATTATCAGATTCATCAAAGTTGAAATGCAACAAAAAATGTTAAGGGCAGCCAGAGAGAAAGGTGGGTTACCCAAAAAGGGAAGCCCATCAGACTAACAGCGGATCTCTCGGCAGAAACTCTACAAGCCAGAAGAGAGTGGGGGCCAATATTCAACATACTTAAAGAAAATAATTTTCAACCCAGAATTTCATATCCAGCCAAACTAGGCTTCATAAGTGAAGGAGAAATAAAATACTTTACAGACAAGCAAATGCTGAGAGATTTTGTCACCACCAGGCCTACCTTACAAGAGTTCCTGAAGGAAGCACTAAACATGGAAAGGAACAACTGGTACCAGCCACTGCAAAAACATGCCAAATTGTAAAGACCATCGATACTAGGAAGAAGCTGCATCAACTAATGAGCAAAATAACCAGCTAACATCATAATGACAGAATCAAACTCACACATAACAATATTAACCTTAAATGTAAATTGGCTAAATGCTCCAATTAAAAGATACAGACTAGCAAATTGGATAAAGAGTCAAGACCCATCAGTGTGCTGTATTCGGGAGACCCATCTCACGTGCAGAAACACAGATAGGCTCAAAATAAAGGGATGGAGGAAGATCTAACAAGCAAATGGAAAACAAAAAAAAGTAGGGGTTGCAATCCTAGTCTCTGCTAAAACAAACTTTAAACCAACAAAGATCAGAAGAGACAAAGAAGGTCATTACATAATGGTAAAGGGATCAATTCAACAAGAAGAGCTAACTATCCTAAATATATATACACCCAATACAGAAGCATCCAGATTCATAAAGCAAGTCCTTAGAGACATACAAAGAGACTTAGACTCCTACACAGTAATAATGGGAGACGTTAACACCCCACTGTCAACATTAGACATATCAACGAGACAGAAAGTTAACAAGGATATCCAGGAATTGAACTCAGCTCTGCACCATGTGGACCTAATAGACATCTACAGAACTCTCCACCCCAAATCAACAGAATATACATTCTTCTCAGCACCACATCACACTTATTCCAAAATTGACCACATAGTTGGAAGTAAAGCACACCTCACCAAATGTAAAAGAACAGAAATTGTAAACAAACTTGTCTCTCAGACCACAGTGCAATCAAACTAGAATTCAGAATTAAGAAACTCACTCAAAACCGCTCAATTACATGGAAACTGAACAACCTGCTCCTGAATGACTACTGGGTACATAATGAAATGAAGGCAGAAATAAAGATGTTCTTTGAAACCAATGAGAACAAAGACACAACATACTGGAATCTCTGGGACACATTTAAAGCAGTATGTAGAGGGAAATTTATAGCACTAAGTGCCCACAAGAGAAAGCAGGAAAGATCTAAAATTGACACCCTAACAACACAATTAAAAGAACTAGAGAAGCAAGAGCAAACACATTCAAAAACTAGCAGAAGGCAAGAAATAACTAAGATCAGAGCAGAACTGAAGGAAATAGAGACACAAAAAAAACCCTTCAAAAAATCAATGAATCCAGGACCTGGTTTTTTGAAAAAATCCACAAAATTGATAGACCGCTAGCAAGACTAAAAAAGAAGAAAAGAGAGAAGAATCATATAGATGCAATAAAAAATGATAAAGGGGATATCACCACCGATCCCACAGAAATACAAACTACCATCAGAGAATACTATAAACATTTCTATGTAAATAAACCAGAAAATCTAGAAGAAATGGATAAATTCCTGGACACATACATCTTCCCAACACTAAACCAGGAAGAAGTTGAATCTCTGAATAGACCAATAACAGGCTCTGAAACTGAGGCAATAAAAGTCCAGGATCAGACAGATTCACAGCCGAATTCTACCAGAGGTACAAGGAGGAGCTGGTACCATTCCTTCTGAAACTATTCCAATCAACAGAAAAAGAGGGAATCCTTCCTAACTCATTTTATGAGGCCAGCATCATCCTGATACCAAAGCATGGCAGAGACACAACAAAAAAGGAGAATTTTAGACCAATATCCCTGATGAACATTGATGCAAAAATCCTCAATAAAATACTGGCAAACCGAATCCAGCAGCACATCCACATCAAAAAGCTTATCCACCATGATCAACTTGGCTTCATCCCTGGGATGCAAGGCTGGTTCAACATACGCAAATCAATAAACGTAATCCAACACATAAACAGAACCAAAGACAAATGCCACATGATTATCTCAAAAGATGCCAAAAAGGCCTTCAACAAAATTCAACAGCCCTTTTTGCTAAAAACTCTCAATAAACTAGGTATTGATGGGACGTACCTCAAAATAATAAGAGCTATTTGTGACAAACCCACAGCCAATATCATACTGAATGGGCAAAAATTGGAAGCATTCTCTTTGAAAACTGGCACAAGACAGAGATGACCTCTCACCACTCCTATTCAACATAGTGTTGGAAGTTCTGGCCAGGGCAATCAGGCAGGAGAAACAAATAAAGGGTATTCAATTAGGAAAAGAGGAAGTCAAATTGTCCCTGTTTCCAGACGACGTTATTTTATATTTAGAAAACCCCAGCATCTCAGCCCAAAATCTCCTTAAGCTGATAAGCAACTTCAGCAAAGTCTCAGGATACAAAATCAATGTGCAAAAAACACAAGCATTCCTACACACCAAGAACAGACAAAGAGAGAGCCAAATCAGGAGTGAACTCCCATTCACAATTGCTTCAAAGAGAATAAAATACCTAGGAATCCAACTTACAAAGGATGTGAAGGACCTCTTCAAGGAGAACTACAAACCACTGCTCAAGGAAATAAAAGAAGACACAAAAAAATGGAAGAAGATTCCATGCTCATGGATAGGAAGAACCAATATCGTGAAAATGGCCATACTGCCCAAGGTTAATTTGTAGATTCAATGTTATCCCCGTCAAGCTACCAATGACTTTCTTCACAGAACTGGAAAAAACTACTTTAAAGTTCATACAGAACCAAAAAAGAGCCCGCATTGCCAAGACAATCCTAAGCCAAAAGAACAAAGCTGGAGGCATCACGCCACCTGACCTCAAACTATACTACAAGGCTACAGTAACCAAAACAGCATGGTACTGGTACCAAAACAGAGAGATAGACCAATGGAACAGAACAGAGCCCTCAGAAATAATACCACACATCTACAACCATCTGATCTTTGACAAACCTGACAAAAACAAGCAATGGGGAAAGGATTCCCTATTTAATAAATGGTGCTGGGAAAACTGGCTAGCCATATGTAGAAAGCTGAAACTGGATCCCTTCCTTACATCTTATACAAAAATTAATTCAAGATGGATTAAAGACTTAAATGTTAGACCTAAAACCATAAAAACCCTAGAAGAAAACCTAGGAAATATCATTGAGGACATAGGCATGGGCAAGGACTTCATGACTAAAACACCAAAAGCAATGGCAACAGAAGCCAAAATTGACAAATGGGATCTAATTAAACAGAAGAGCTTCTGCACAGCAAAAGAAACTACCATCAGAGTGAACAGGCAACCTACAGAATGGGAGAAAATTTTTACAATTTACCTATCTGACAAAGGGCTAATATCCAGAATCTATAAAGAACTTAAACAAATTTACAAGAAAAAATCAACCCCATCAAAAAGTGGGTGAAGGATATGAACAGACACTTCTCAAAAGAAGACATTTATGCAGCCAAAAGACACATGAAAAAATGCTCATCATCACTGGCCATCAGAGAAATGCAAATCAAAACCACAATGAGATACCATCTCACACCAGTTAGAATGGCGATCATTAAGAAGTCAGGAAACAACAGGTGCTGGAGAGGATGTGGAGAAATAGCAACACTTTTACACTGTTGGTGGGACTGTAAACTAGTTCAACCATTGTGGAAGACAGTGTGGTGATTCCTCAAGGATCTAGAACTAGAAATACCATTTGACCCAGCTATCCCATTATTGGGTATACACCCAAAGGATTATAAATCATGCTGCTGTAAAGACACATGCACACGTATGTTTACTGTGGCACTATTCACAATAGCAAAGACTTGGAACCAACCCTAATGTCCATCAATGATAGACTGGATTAAGAAAATGTGGCACATATACACCATAGAATACTATGCAGCCATAAAAAAAAGGATGAGTTCATGTCCTTTGTAGGGACATGGATGAAGCTGGAAACCATCATTCTGAGCAAACTATCACAAGGACAGAAAACCAAACACCACATGTTCTCACTCATTGGTGGAAATTGAACAATGAGAACACTTGGACACAGGGTGGGGAACATCACACTCCGGGGCCTGTCATGGGGTTGGGGGAGGGAGGAGGGATAGCATTAGGAGAAACACCTAATGTAAATGACGAGTTAATGGGTGCAGCACACTAACATGGCTCATGTATACATATGTAACAAACCTGCACGTTGTGCACATGTACCCTAGAACTTAATAAATAAATTAATTAAATAAAATATAAACATATGCAATTTTATATGTAACACAATATACATGCACACAATGCAAAGAAGACAAGAATACATTAAATTTTTTTTTTTCCAGCAATTGGATTTCTTTTTTATTTTATTTTATTTTATTTTATTTTATTTTTTTATTGATCATTCTTGGGTGTTTCTCGCAGAGGGGGATTTGGCAGGGTCATAGGACAATAGTGGAGGGAAGGTCAGCAGATAAACAAGTGAACAAAGGTCTCTGGTTTTCCTAGGCAGAGGACCCTGGGGCCTTCCGCAGTGTTTGTGTCCCTGGGTACTTAAGATTAGGGAGTGGTGATGACTCTTAACGAGCATGCTGCCTTCAAGCATCTGTTTAACAAAGCACATCTTGCACCGCCCTTAATCCATTTAACCCTGAGTGGACGCAGCACATGTTTCAGAGAGCACAGGGTTGGGGATAAGGTCACAGATCAACAGGATCCCAAGGCAGAAGAATTTTTCTTAGTACAGAACAAAATGAAAAGTCTCCCATGTCTACTTCTATCCACACAGACCCGGCAACCATCCGATTTCTCAATTTTTTCCCCACCCTTCCCGCCTTTCTATTCCACAAAACCGCCATTGTCATCATGGCCCATCCCCAATGAGCCGCTGGGCACACCTCCCAGACGGGGTCGTGGCCGGGCAGAGGGGCTCCTCACTTCCCAGTAGGGGCGGCCGGGCAGAAGCGCCCCTCACCTCCCGGATGGGGCGGCTGGCCGGGCGGGGGCTGACCCCCCACCACCCTCCCGGACGGGGCGGCTGGCCAGGCAGAGCGGCTCCTCACTTCCCAGTAGGGGCGGCCGGGCAGAGGCGCCCCTCACCTCCTGCATAGGGCGGCTGGCCGGGCGGGGGGCTGTCCCCCCCACCTCCCTCCCGGACAGGGCGGCTGGCCGGGCAGAGGGGTCCTCACTTCCCAGTAGGGGCGGCCGGGCAGAGGAGCCCCTCACCTCCCGGACGGGGCGGCCGGCCGGAAGGGGGGCTGACCCCCCCACCTCCCTCCCGGACGGGGCGGCTGGCCAGGCGGGGGGCTGACCCCCCCACCTCCCTCCCGGACGGGGCGGCTGGCCGGGCAGGGGGCTGACCCCCCCTCCCCCCTCCCGGACGGGGCGGCTGGCCGGGCGGGGGGCTGATCCCCCCACCTCCCTCCCGGATGGGGCGGCTGGCCAGGCGGGGGGCTGACCCCCCCACCTCCCTCCCGGGCGGGGCGGCTGGCCGGGCAGAGGGGCTCCTCACTTCCCAGTAGGGGCGGCCGGGCAGAGGCGCCCCTCACCTCCCGGACGGGGCGGCTGGCCAGGCGGGGGGCTGATCCTCCCACCTCCCTCCCGGACGGGGCGGCTGGCCGGGCGGGGGGCTGACCCCCCACCTCCCTCCCGGACTGGGCGGCTGGCCGGGCGGGGGGCTGACCCCCCCACCTCCCTCCCGGATGGGGCGGCTGGCCGGGCAGAGGGGTCCTCACTTCCCAGTAGGGGCGGCCGGGCAGAGGCGCCCCTCACCTCCCGGACGGGGCGGCCGGCCGGGCGGGGGGCTGACCCCCCCCACCTCCCTCCCGGACGGGGCGGCTGGCCGGGCGGGGGGCTGACCCCCCACCTCCCTCCCGGACTGGGCGGCTGGCCGGGCGGGGGGCTGACCCCCCCACCTCCCTCCCGGACGGGGCGGCTGGCCTGGCGGGGGGCTGACCCCCCCCACCTCCCTCCCGGACAGGGCGGCTGGCCGGGCAGAGGGGCTCCTCACTTCCCAGTAGGGGCGGCCGGGCAGAGGAGCCCCTCACCTGCCGGACGGGGCGGCTGGCCGGGCGGGGGGCTGACCCCCCCCACCTCCCTCCCGGACGGGGTGGCTGCCGGGCGGAGACGCTCCTCACTTCCCAGCCGGGGTGGTTGCCGGACGGAGGGGCTCCTCACTTCTCAGACGGGGCGGTTGCCAGGCAGAGGGTTTCCTCACTTCTCAGACGGAGCAGCCGGGCAGAGACGCTCCTCACCTCCCAGACAGGGTTGCGGCCCAGCAGAGGCGCTCCTCACATCCCAGACAGGGCAGTGGGGCAGAGGTGCTCCCCACATCTCAGACGATGGGCGGCCGGGCAGAGACGCTCCTCACTTCCTAGATGGGATGGTGGCGGGGAAGAGGCGCTCCTCGCTTCCTAGATGGGATGGCGGCCGGGCAGAGACGCTCCTCACTTTCCAGACTGGGCAGCCAGGCAGAGGGGCTCCTCATATCCCAGACGATGGGCGGCCAGGCAGAGACGCTCCTCACTTTCCAGACGGGGTGGCGGCCGGGCAGAGGCTGCAATCTCGGCTCTTTGGGAGGCCAAGGCAGGCGGCTGGGAGGTGTAGGTTGTACTGAGCTGAGATCACACCACTGCACTCCAGCCTGGGCACCATTGAGCACTGAGTGAACGAGACTCCATCTGCAATCCCGGCACCTCGGGAGGCCGAGGCTGGCGGATCACTCGCGGTTAGGAGCTGGAGACCAGCCCGGCCAACACAGCGAAACCCCGTCTCCACCAAAAAAAAACGAAAACCAGTCAGGCGTGGCGGCGCGTGCCTGCAATCGCAGGCACTCGGCAGGCTGAGGCAGGAGAATCAGGCAGGGAGGTTGCAGTGAGCCGAGATGGCAGCAGTACCGTCCAGCTTTGGCTCAGCATCAGAGGGAGACCGTGGAGGGAGAGGGAGACGGAGAGGGAGACGGAGCGGGAGAGGGAGAGGGAGAGGGAGAGGGAGAGGGAGAGCTACATTAAATTTTAATAATCATTTACACTCTCTGGTGGGATAAGAGGCTTCTTCCCCTTCTAATTTTCTTTATTCTTTCCTTTTCTTTTATTATTTATCCATTTATTCAATTTTTCGTAGAGACAAAGCCTTGCTATGCTGCCCAAGTCTCAAACTCCTGGCCTCAAGCAGTCTTCCTGCCTTGGCCTCCTAACATGTAGGGACTGCAGGTGTAAGCCACTACACTCAGCCATTCCGCTTCTAATTTTCTATATTTTTCAAACATCAGTAACAAATTTTTAGTACTTCTATGCATTAAGTGCTGGCAGCTTCTTTAAATGTAACCCAGACTACTTTATGACAGGCAGTAAAAATATGTGAAGGGGCTGCTGTATGCAGGTAGTCCATAGTAAGTATATTTGGGAATAAGTCTAGGAAGGGAATTGCGGCAATTCCTACTTTAATTCTTTTAAGCCTTACAGTTTTGATTGTGTTACAGCATCTCCAGCTTCAGGAATGAGTCCCGGTGTGTTAAATCGTTTAGGGTAATCCTGTTTCCTTAGCACCTTGATTGGTTGAGAAGTAGACTGATCCAGGGCTGAGCCAATCAGTGCATGACCTCCCTGGCCAAACTCATTGGTCGGGAGTGGTCCAATCTCCTTAGGGCTGGAATTTTGTTCCTGGTTTAGGGAAAAGCATCCTCTCTCACTCTGTGCATCCTGGAGGCTACCTTGAGAAGCTAGACCAGAGGCAAATACAAAACATAGTGGAAGGGACAACAGAAAGAATCATAGAAAAGCAGAGTCCTGTTTGAAGGAGACTGGACGCCAATCACAATGTCAAGACGTTTCACTTACCTGAAACAGTAAATCATCCTATCATTTGAGTAACAAGAGTCAAACCAAAGTATTTTACCTGATAACATAGAGAACATATTGGGTGTTTCTTATGTACCAGTTGTATTATACATGTTATTTCCTATAATCTACACAAAACAATGCTGTTAAGTTTTACTACTCTTTTTTTTTTTTTTTTTTTTTTTTTTTTTTGAGACGGAGTTTCGCTCTTGTTACCCAGGCTGGAGTGCAATGGCACGATCTCGGCTCACTGCAACCTCTGCCTCCCGGGTTCAAGTGATTCTCCTGCCTCAGCCTCCGGAGTAGCTGGGATTACAGGTGCTCGCCACCACGCCAGGCTACTTTTTATATTTTTAGTAGAGACAGGGTTTCACCGTGTTAGGCCAGGCTAGTCTCCCAACTCCTGACCTTAGGCGATCCACCTGCCTTGGCTTCCCAAAGTGCTTGGATTACAGGTGTGAGCCACCGTGCCCAGCCAGGTTTTACTACTCTGATTTTAAAATCAGGAACTAGTGATGGTGATTTTGGTGAACCATCCAAGGTCATAGACCTAGCAATAGTTTTGCTAATTTTTATTTTGCTAAGTAAGAACATTAAAAAAAACCTCATCATGTTTTGTCATAACAATTTCATAAAAGGAAGAATATTATAATAAAAAATTAAGATGACCTTAGTCCGAGAATAAAAGACAGCTCTCAAGAAAGGACTTTTGCCATCATCATGGATATTTTCCTCTGGACAGGAAAAAGTTCATCATGTGTAGGTGACAGGCCAGCTGCATAAAAAGTCATATTTTGATTCAGCAGGAATTGAGCAAGTTCTGGAAATGTGTTTTTTTTGAAACGAACTGCAGGTAATTCTGACAGGAAGCCAGGATGGGGAACTACTATTCTGGGAGACATAAAGTGTGCTTCCATTGGAACAGGTCCCTTTGCCTGCTTTCTCCAGAAGTTTCTTTCCTGTTCTCCAATCTGCTTCTATTTGCATTTCAGGCTGTATTCCTCACCTTGGCAGATCCATGAATCCTGTCTCTTCCGGTCTGCAGTTCTGTTAACTAAACATTACTTTTCTTTCTCTTGTTGCCTCAGTGATTACATTCAAGTTTGACTATTGTTTTCTTACTCAGAACTACCCAGGGAAGAAAAGACTTCTCTCTGTGCCATTAACCATAAACTCAAAGAGGAAACAGTGGCATGACTATTTCCAAAGACCTCAACCTGAGACTTCCCTGGAAGGTGGGGAGTAATTCAACCTGATAAATAATTTACGATTGTAACCTTTGTCAATAATTTTATTTGAATATATTATATTCCTTGGGAGAATATTAGATTGCATTTTGGGAATAGATTTAATGATTCCTATGAACTGAAGATAATCATGATAATATGGTCCATGTCACTAAAGAATTGTCTGAGAGTTGATTGACACTTTCTGTGTTCTTTTTTCCTCCTCAGTTTCCAATAGCCAGAGACTTATTATGTTAATTTCCAGAGCCCAGCTGTTGTTCACTTTCCTCTTTTTCTTTTTCTCTCTAGCTCTTTCCCTCTGCCCTCTCTCCTTCCTCCTCTGCCCTCTCTCCTTCCTCCTCTGCACGTTGCTTCTGCTACTGACATTTCTAGCATACATCTCTCATTCAGTTTCCCTTCTCAAGGTGAGGAGATCTAATTTTGTTGGTTTGTCTTTACCCAATATGGTGAGTTCTTACTGGGACAAATTTGGGTTCAGGTACTGGTTTCTTGGCCTGATCAACAATGATTAGGGTAGCAGGACTAGTTTCACTGCAAGCATTCAGCCTCTTTTCTCCAAAGGTTTTAGTGGGCGAAGTGTAGCTGAAAAATCTTCTGGGGCTCTATAACCCATTGAGTACAATCTAGCTTAGCAAAATGCAGAAAACTCCCCAGCCAAGGTTTAGCTAGGGGGAGAGAGAGAGAGAGAGAGCACGTGCGCGCAAGCACAAAAAGACATTCTAAGTAATGACTGCTCTCTCCTTTTTCTTTAATATAGAGAAATGTCTGGATATTCTCAGTCATGTATGGCGGGAAAGCCCAGACAGACATTTATTTGCTTCTTTAGCAATTTCAGAATGAATGCCCAAAGGTATGAGAACTTGACTCCCTGCTTCCATGTTGTCTTTATGGCACGAGGTCTGCTGACCTCTGCAGTCATCTCTCACTAATCTACATGTACAGAATGCCCAGCTGTAACGAATTATTTGCCTTTGATTGTTCAATACACTTGCAGAAGCAGCTCTCTCTCTCTGCCTTTTCAACCTTTCTCAACTGTATTACCTGTCGGCTTCTGTTGAATTCAACATAAGCAAGATCTCCTCCATGAAACTTCATGAGTGTGGTTGTTAGCCCGCTGTGGCAGGCTCTATTCCTTGCCATCACAAAAACCATTCCTCTATCCACTCTTTCAAGTGGAGGCCCCATTTGTTCAGAAATCAGGCAAGGATTTTAGTTCTCAGGAAAGGTAGCTTCGGCAGCTGGTCTAGGAACTGTCATGGGACAAATTAAGAGGCAATAAGATGTAAAGGGAAGTTTGTTGGAGGAGTTTGTTGGAGGATAAGTGTTTTTATCTCCTTGATAAGAGAATATAAGCAAAAAGAGAAACTCACCTGTCCACACCACCTCCTGCTTCTAGCACACCTGACCTAGCAAAAGCACACTTGCTAGGACAGGTGTGCTAGGACACTTTTGCACTGCAGCCATCATTCGACTTTGACAGGAAGGTCATTGGAATTGCAAAGATGGCACTCTTTATGTCATTGAGCCACTGAGCCCCAATTTGTTGAAGCACTGCTAATTATTTTGTTGCTTACCACTGAAAGCATTCCTAACTGTTAACCTCCTCTGTGCGCATAAATGCAATCACTGAAGTATCCCTGTCATGTCCTCAGAATCAGTTTTGCCTGAGAGTGAAAACGTCTTCACTCTTAAACAGTACCATATTACTGACAACAGGAAAACATCTATAATTGGTGTATATTTGGACACACAGTCACTATGCCAATAAAAATAAGACAGCTACACTGGCAAAAGGATCTCATCCTATCTTTGAGTTGTAGAGTTTAGTATAAACCCATATTGACCAAGCAAATTGTCTTTGCAGTATGCCTGCATACAGAAATACTAGAAGGAAAACTTCTTTCAACTGAGTAGAAATAAAAATAATTTCTGATCTAATGATTTTCATAGTCTCCCAATAAGAAGACCAAACCTCACATTATGAGAGCCAAAAATCATCCATCATCAGCTATATATGTTTCTTGGTCTACATTATTTCTGTCCCAGACACTGGAAGTCTGGACTTCTCCCAGAGAAGAGAACTGTCATCCTGTCACATGATTGCAATTGGCAAGTCTTACCAAGAAAGTTTGGCAGATCCTTAGAACAGGACTAACATATGTTTTATATATGTGTGGGTAGGTGTATATATAGCCATCCATCTACATACATATATGTATACTTATTTATTTATAAGCTCTAGTTAAAGTTAGAAAAATTAATTTAGATGCATATGGATAAGTCACACAAATTAGCACTAGTTTAAAAGGAATTAGTATAATCCTAAAAGAAATCATTTTGATTTTGTTAAAGTAAAAATGCCAATGCAAATTTTAAAAGCGGAACATCATGTTAATAACTTTTATCTTTAGATTATTGCTCATTTAGAGCAATGATTCACTCACTCATGCAACAAGTGTTTATTAAACACCAACTACAAAGACTTATAAGACACAAAGTCCTTGCCCTGGTGAATCCTATGGTCTAGTTGTAGACACACACACACACACACACACACACACACACACACACACACACACAGAGTCATTCATTCATTCATTCGTTCACTCACTCAAAGATTATTATTGAGGACTTTCTTCGCCTATCATGTGTGCTGAGATTACAGACATGAAAAGACAGAAGACACTTGCACTCCCAGAGCTTATGTAATATGGGGGGAGGTGGAGAAAAACAGTAAACAAACATTAACATATACACACATAAGAGAGTGATAAATGCAATGAAGAGACTTCAAATTGAATAATATGATAAAAAATAACTGAGCTGCTACTTTTAAATGGGTGGACGAGGAAGACCCCCTGGGAAAACATTTAAGCTGAGACACAGGAGACCGCTGGAAAAGGATGGAAGGTGAAGTGAAGGTCTTTTTGCTGCTCTTTTTGCTATTATTATTGTTTTAGTTGTCAGTGTGTTTGTGTGTGTGTAAGAAAGGAATTATTAGAACTGGTATATGACAATGGGAGTGATTGAGGAAAGAAGTGATGATTCAGGGAAGAATGAGCAGAGAATTGAGAAACAAAACCTTTAATAAGGTGAGGGGGGCATGAATTCCAGAGTAAAACCAGAGAGTGTACCAGTGACAGCAGCAGAGACAGTTGCTCTACAATAAATTGAGCAGGCAGAAAATAGGTATAGAGTGAGGAGGATAGATAATATTTGATTGGAAAGGTGAGGGAATTCTTGTCAAACTACTTCTATTTTCTCAATGATTTATGAAGCAATGTTATAAGCTGAGACTATGAACAGTAAAATGGGTCAGGAGATTTAAGGAGTTAAGACATGAGGTGAAATTATCATTTTGGAAAGTGGGAATGCAAAAGTCCTACAGGTTTAATAATACTGCTCTTGACTACCCACTTGAGATTTATAGCCAGAATTTAAAGTGATGCTAGCAAGCATACGTTTTTGTCTTCACCAGTGTTCAGTTGTGTTGTTGCATGGGGACCATTGGGTATAAGAGGGTTGCAGCTCGGCTAAGGTGAAGGAGGGTGGCAGAGGCAAGGGAGTGAAGGGTGTTATCAAACAGTGGCTTAATAATGTATTACAGAGTCTAAGGTGAGTGAATAAGGAAGGGAGTACCTGAAGAGGACAGATTGATAGTGATTCAGTCATAAACTCACCAGATTAGAGAGTCTTAATAAAGGCAAGATATTGTTTGTATAGATATTCTTGGTTTAGTGAGCTTTTAGGATAGAAGACAATAGTCAAAGAATGGGATGCTGGTACTAGAGATACTGGAGATGATGGACTTATTGATGATTACAAGGTCAGAAGTATGACCTTAGACAGGAGTGGATAGCTGATGGTCGGTGAAGAATTATATCATTCTATTGTAAGGTGGGAGGATCTGGAAACTGGAGTCTAAGGTATTAGATGTAATATTTGAGTGGGCATTGAAGTCAGAAAGAAGGAAGTGAGTGAGAATAACATCAGAATAATAATGAAAAAAGCCCCAATGAGCCAGGTGCTAAATTTATCAAAGAATAAAGTTAACTGAATTCTCTAGATGACAGCAACAAGGAAGGGGAATAGGTGCCAAAGTCTGATGGCACAGGGCCAGGTGTGATGGCTCATGTCTGTAATCTCAGCACTTTGGGAGTCCAAGGCAGGAGGACTGCTTGAGGCCAGGAGTTCAAGACCAGCCTGGACAACATAGTGAGATCTCATCTTTACAGAAACCCAAAAAACTCTGATGGCACAACTTTAACAGAGCCTGGGGTTTGGAAGGATGCAGGAAGACAACAGGTCTGAAAATGGCACTGGAGAACAAGAAAAGCACTCACCCCACAGCTTGGTCTGGTTACGTAGGATGCAAAAGAAGAACAGATTCCACCGCATATGACTGCAACAGAATTGATTTCAACAGGGCACAGCCAGGTTTTACCTAGAGCAAGAAAGGAAAGGGAACATTCAAGATGATGTTGAGGATGCAGTCACACTTGTTGATGATGGATTGGCAGCTGTAGATGGCTGAGAGGAAGGGGTTGGGATGGCAGAAGTGAAAGAGTAGGTCAGATGAGTAGATATACATAGTAGTGCAAGAACGAATATCTAGGCTAGGGGTCAGCAAATTGTTTAAATAAAGGGAAAGATAGTAAATATTTTAAGCTTTGTGGGTCATATGGCCTCCGTTTCAAGTACTCAACTCTGCCTTTTACTTTACAAATTTTTATTTATTTATTAAGTTTTTAAAGAGTCAGTAAGCATCTGTAGGTCTTGGACCCCAGCGGGGAGATTGGACAGATGGAGAGTCTAGCATGAGGAGAGTCTAACTGCTTGAGCTAAAGCCAACCCTCTGCGTTTTTAGAGTGAAAGCAGCTGTAGACGATATGTAAAGAAGTGGATATAGTTGTGTTCCAGTAAAACTTTATTTACAAAAATGGGCAGTGGATTCAATTTGGCTGATTTGACTCTGTAATAAACAGAGCTGGTAATGGAGTTTGGGCTTGTGATGATCAGTGAGGTAAAAAGCAGAAACATGGTTAAAATGGGAGTATTTGATACTCTCCTGGAGAAGGAGGATTGCCCATTTAAGAAAGAAGTTGTGAAGCTACCAAACATCTGCTGCTCCCAGATGTCGTAGCCAGGGATAAAAAAAAAAGATCTTGACATGGAACTGCTGTGACTTCTTGACCAGGAGCAGAAATTTTGGTGAGAATATCTGCTTTTGAGAGGCCCCAGTGTAACACAAGATGCGGCTCTCATCTAGAGGCTTGGGACCATTTCTTTCCCAGGATGCTCGTATTGTTGACTCCAATCAGTTGACTACAACTAAGAGGGAAAGGGCAAGGTACAAACACTTGGAGTTTCTAAAGAAGGAAGACACAAGCACTGGTAAATATGGAAACAGGAAAGATTTTCTTACTCAGTCCATGTCTATATCCTAAAATGCAGTCGCTAAGGAGGTTAATTTGGCTTTCTCTAATATCTAAAAATGATTATACAGCTTTCAATCAAGCAGACTTTTAGATTTTGTGAGACATCAAACTGTCTCTTTGAGAGACTGGTGTTTTGCACCAGACAAACTTAGAGTCACTAGTCAGTCATTATGACAGAGGCTTGAACTCAACCTGTATTAACAGTTTTAAAAGATCCCTGGATTGAATTTACCTCAAATGCTAAGTAAACTTTGCACTTGAAGATGGCTTCTTGGATGCCCATTTTTAATGATTCTTAAATAACAGGTATTCACGCCCATTTCTGAAAGATTTTTAACTCCGACATCATTAATTATCCCCTACCAAATTGGTCCACACTTCTGGTCCAATTTGATATTTTGTTGATATTATTAAAACAGCTTAATAGTAAGCTGTTGATATTATAAAAACTGCTGTTTAATGATACTGTTTTGTTGATATTATTAAAACAGCTTCTTCAAATGTTTAAATTATTTCCCGATAATAAGCAAGGTTGTAATTTATAGGAAGACATGAAGTCTTTTAGACCCCTGGGGTACAATTTGGCACACTTTTCTAGTCATCTGAAGGTATCTAATATTCTTCTTGATAGTAAATTAGGCCCTAGGATACTGGTTTATTGCTTATAACTTGTGAGATTTCTGTTACAGTGATGACAAAAGAAATGGTCCCATCTTTCAAGAGAATACTTCATTTGATTTTAACTGAAGAAAAACACAAGAATGGTTTAATACAACTGAAGTACATTAGTGTGCAAATCTTTTTTCTTTGTTGGAGCTATTTCTACTTTATGGGACATATATATTCTATTAAACACATTTCATGGTGATTGAATAAAACTCTACATTGATTTAGCAATGATTATATGTCTGTGCTATACACTGTTGGGAAAACAAAGCTGAATAAGGCTTGATGCTTTACATATCCTTGGTTTACTTAGGTTTACATTTCCTTTGTATAGGGTGCAAGTACAAATATATGTGACCTATATTTGAGACCAATAAAAAGCAATGTTTCAATTTTACAAATGTTTGAATTACATAATTTCAATTACATAAATAATAATAGCAGTTCGTAATTATTGGACCCTTCATATTACTTAACATTAATGAATTTATTTCTCACAACAACCCAACGAAGTGGGTACCACTGTCCTATCTTAGAGGTAAGTAAATCATCACTGACAGCCAGTAAGGGATAGAGTTTAGCTTCAAAACTAGGTCTGTCTGACTACAAAGCCCTTGATCTTAATCTCTATCTCATTATGCTTCAGAAACACATTTTAAGCTGGGTAGAATCAATAAGTAAAAGCCAGTTATTGTAAAATATGGATTTTTGCCATTCTTGACAGACAGAAAGATGTGACATTTTGACTGCTAACAATAGGTCTTCAAGAGTTCTTCTTAAAAATGCAAATCTATATTCCTAAAAGGAAAACATATTTTAAAAAGTAAATACTTCTAGGCTCTTAACTTGTGTGCCCTTGCAAAATCTTAAAAGAATGGGATAAAGAACAGGGAAGTTTTGATAAGGTTAAGGAGTAACAGGTATGGAATAAGGGAGAGGCAAACTTGAGCAGGAGGTGGGTAGCGGGTAATACCTTCAAGAAACAGGCAGCACAAAAGAACTGAGTATCTGTGGTGGGAACTCCGAAATGGAGACAAGATGAAAAAAAGCTAAGACAAGATTTTATAGCTATATACTTTTGCATAAGGCCAATATTGCTGCCTCTAAAAAACATCCAATAGTATACCATTAGCAAGTACAATAAAATAAACTTGTATGAATTTAAAAGTGTAGTAGCTTCCCTAAGCAGGGACTGAGATGTAATATCTATTGTCAAAGAGTTTATAATCAAGGAAGCATTTTTTCTCTCCTTCACACCTATTTGTTCCACCATTCTTTATATAATGTTAGATTTTACCCATGATCACCTGTAACATGGCTCTGAATTAGCATTATACCCAGAACAGGGCTGCTAATATAATCAATTACTAATTAGTTCTGTTGCTCCTTTTCATTGCAATCACATTCTTAAGAGTATAATAGTTATCAATATATGACTCATTCATAAAACATAAATGTAATTTTAGTTAAATGCTTAGTTGCCATCATTGTAACGCTAATAATTGTAGGAATGATGAAGATATAATAATAAACCTAAATGGTTTTAGGGTTAGAGATGAGCTTAAAAATGGTATCTTCATGATCTGCGTTTATCCTACATCAATAATTTTGCATGAAATTTGTTCAATTTACATATCAAAAATAGATTTTTCTGTCAGCAAAGTAAGATCAGTCTTGTATCTGAAAATCAAGCACAGCTTGTACATCATCATTAACCATAAAGACTCTGAAATCAGAACTTAGCTGCCAATTTTGTTGATGATGCATAAGACGAAATCGAGTACAGCTGGCTCTTCTGTCCTGTGCTAGCTCTGCAGTACTGACATTAGTGAAAAATCTGTTTGTTTTTTGTTTCAGGAAATTAAATAGCTATGACTAAAATGAAGCACAGAGAACAGATATATCTGGGTAATAACCAGGTGCCATTTTATTTTTATTTTTTTCTTGCAGGTTCATTTGATTATTGCAACACTAGTTGAGTTTGACCAATTGTAATGATCTCAAATAATACATTTTTCAAAACGACCTCCTAGAGGAGTCCTTTTTTAATAAATGGGGACCAAACAATCCAAGTCATTTATTTTTTTTAATTAATTTTTTGAGACAGAGTTTTGCTCTATTGCTCATATTGGAGTGCAGTGGTGCTCACTGCACCACTGTGGCTCACTGCAGCCTTGACCTCCTGGGCTCAAGCAATTCTCCCACCTCAACCTCCTGAGTAGCTGGGACTACAGGCAAAAACCACCACACTTGGCTAATTTTTAAATTTTTTTTGTAGAGACAGAGTTTCTGTGGGTTGCCCAAACTAGTCTTGAACTCCTGACCTCAAGCCATCTTCCCACCTTGGCCTCCCAAAGTGTTGGGATTATAGGCATGAATCACCTTGCATGGCCCTCCTTTATAATTTAAAGTCCATCATAAGTAACTACAATTTTCTCAGTGATTCCTTCTAGTAGAGTATCTATAAGCAAATTTTACATTAAAAAATAGATTTAACTTCTGACATGTCAACTGGCTTTTCAGAATGGTACTTTGTATGATTTAAGGCCGAACTTTAAAGTCTTCCTTGTAGAGAAACAAGCCAATTTCTAGATATTGCCTTCAGATGAGGAAATGAGAAAATTTTCAATAAGGCAACATTAAGTTAATGGCATAAAACTAAATTCTAAATCCTTAAATCTATTGGAAGTTTGGTGAATCAAGAAGATCCTTACCTCTTTTCCCACCAAGCATGAACTATGCTATACCAGCTCAGAGTGAGGATTGCACAATATTAACCACCACCACTTCAAGAAATTCTGTTAAAGCAATCTTGAAATTTTTTGTGAAGACACAAAAAGATGAGAGCAAGAGGAGATAACAGCAACAGAGCTTTGAAAACTGAAAAGGAGATGAATGAAACCTGACTGCCCTTGCAGACCTCAGAGAGTGGAAACCAAGTTGGTAATGGCGAAAGCTGAGAAGCATCTCCATTAATACAAAAGAATCCTCAAAAGTTTCAAGAAATCCTAAGACAAGATAATTCTGGAACTGAAAATGAAGCAAGGATGACCACTGCTAAAACAGGAAGGAGTAGGTGAAAGCTGACTCAGATGTAGTCATCTCCTTATTGTCTTTCCCAGCTCCATGCCAGTAGGAGATTAACTCTCCTAGTTTGGTCATAAGTCTGTGGTTTTATTTTCTGGAGAAGTGTACAGTACTGCTTCTGGACTGAGGAAGGATACAAATGTCTGAAGACCTGAATATTCTATTGAAAACATTCTGTTATTTCCCCTTTCCACACTCAGAACCCAGGACACTCCGTCTCTAGCGTGGGATCTCTACCCTTGAGGGAAGAGATAGGTAGATTTTTCTTTGGTTAAACCGAACAGCCTGTGGAAAGACATCAACATACTGTTAACAAGGATACCCAAAAGTCGTCCCAGTTCATCTTGCAGTAAAGCTCAAGGTTACTGAGCCTCATAGGCATGCAGAACTCCCAATTAGATTTTTAGTTTTCATTCTGAAGAGCAGAAAATCAAGAATTACAAGAAATCTGATGAAAACTTCTAACATGGAAAGGGAGACCAAAGTAAACAATCAAATGCAACTTGAGGAAATGGCTACCATGCAAAGAAAAATAAATTTTAAAAATGTGTACATACATATTTTAATATACACATATATGTACATACATACCATTCATATCCTTAGAGAACTAAGAAAAGATATTACAGCTTTGATAAGAGAAAAAAGTATAAAAATGGAACACAGAACAAGAGAACTCTCAAAAAATAAAAATATATACAATAGTACAAATAAAACTATGATACATCAATGTTAATTGCAGCATTATTTACAATAGCCAAAACACAGAAGCAACCCAAGTGTCTATCAACAAATGAATTAATAAAAAACGTGATACAGTTGTCCCTTGGTATCCATGGGGGAATTGGTTACCAGGGATCTCTCAAGGATTCCAAAGTCCATGGATTCCCAAGTTCTTCATATAAAATGGTGTAAGTCAAATGCAGTGGTACACACCTGGAGCTACAGCTACTTGGACTGGAGGCCGAGGCTGGAGGATCTCTTGAGCCTAAGAGATAAGGCTATAGTAAACTTTTTTTTTTTTGAGACTGAGTCTCATTCTGTCTCCCAGGCTGGAGTGCAGTGGTACGATCTCGGCTCACTGCAACCTCCACTTCTCTGGTTCAAGCAATTCCCCTGCCTCAGCCTCCCGAGTAGCTGGAATTACAGGCACATACCACCACACCCAGCTATTTCTTCTTTATTTTTTTATTTTTAGTAGAGACGGGGTTTCACCATGTTGGCCAGACTGGTCTCGAACTTCTGACCTCAGGCAATCCACCCGCCTCCCAAACCCCAAACTGCTGGGATTACAGGCTTGAGCCACTGCGCCTGGCCTATAGTAAACTATTAATATGATTGTTCCACTGTGCTCCAGCCTGGGCAACAGAGAGAGACCTCGTTTCTAAATAAATAAACAAATAAAAATTAAAATAAAAAATAAAATGGCATAGTATTTGCATATAAACTACACAATCTTCCAATAAACTTTAAACAATTTCTAGATTACTTATAATACCTAATACAATATAAATGCTGTGTAATTTGTTACTATACTGTATTGTTTAGGGAACAGAGACAAGAAAAAAGTCTTTACGTGTTCAGTACAGATGTCATTGTTCTTTGAATATTTTTTATGTGGGGTTGGTTGAATCTACATGTGGAACCCACAGATATGGAAGCCCAACTGTACACACAGTGGAATATTATTCAGCCTTTAAAAAGGCAGTAAATTCTGACACATGCTACAACATCGATGCATCTTAAAGACATTATGCTAAATGAAATGAGCCAGTCACAGGAGGGCAAAAAGTGTATGATTTCACTTACATGAGTTACATAGAGTAGTAATCAAATTCATAGAGGCAGAAAATGTTGGTTGCCAGGGGCTGAAGAAGAGGGGAATTTGAAGTTTTTGTTCAACTGATACAGAGTTTCAGTTTGGGAAGATTAAGAAGTTCTGGAGATGCATGGTAGTGATGGTTGCACAACAATGTGAGTGTACTTAATAAGCCACTGAATCAAAAATGATAAAAATGGTAAATTTTATGTGTATTTTGCCACATTAAAAATAAATAAAATTTTGAATATATAAGAATGTAAGTTGGAAAATAAAATTGAGAAAATTTCTCAGCAAAAACAAAATGAGATGAAAAAGAATAGGGAAGAAATAGAAAAACTGGAGGCCCAGTCCAGGAGGTCCATCATTTAAAAAAAAAAAAAAAAAGGAATTTCAGAAAGGGAAAAATATATATATACAGACACTGGGGACAAAGAGAAGATCATGAAATTTTCCAGAGAGAAAACAAATTGAGTCAGAAATCACAATGAGGGCCAGGCAGGGTGGCTCACGTCTGTAATGCCAGCATGCTGGGAGGCTGAGGTGGACGGATCACTTGAGGTCAGGCGTTCAAGACCAGCCTGGGCAACATGGAGAAACCTTGTCTCTTACAAAAAATGCAAAAAATTGCCGAGCCTGGTGATGCAGGCCTGTAGTCCCAGCTACCCAGGAGGCTGACGTAGGAGCATTGCTTGATCCCAGGAGGTCAAGACTGCAGTGAGCCATGATCATGCCACTGCACTCCAGCCTCAGTGACAAACTGAAAAAAAAAAAAAAAAAAAGAAGGAGATCACAGACCACGATGTCATTGGATTTAACAGTAAGACGGGAGCAATGCCTATAAATTTCCCACCTAGAACTCTTATTATTGGCCAAATTATTAATCAGATGGCAGTTGGGAAGAGGGAGTGGTGGGTTGGGAGAATAAAGAGATTTTCAGAATGCAAGATCTCAAAAAATGTACTTCCCAGACACTCTTGCTTACTTTGAGGTTATTGGAAGATATATTCTGAGAGTGAGAATGCATGTAAGGGGGTGTAGGGAGACAGAGAGCCGGAAAGAACATTAAGAAAAAGAGGGTTACATGGGTTGGAGGAAACAAGATATCCCGCACAAGAGAAAGGGGAAGGGAATCCTTAGAGGAAGGTTAGGATTACAGGGTGCCTGTTCTTCAACAGGCATACAGGAGAAAATCTAGATTGGATCTTGTCAGAAATTTTGGGGCTAAGTACAGTGCAGGGCTATTTTTCTACAGCTCCCTTTCCTCCACACAGAACAGATGTGTATAGAGAAAATTAGTGGAATTTATTTTATCACGTTAAATGATGATGACACATGAGGCAATAAGAGTATATTTCTGTCTTAAGTGGTTACAATGAAGCATTTCAGCCAGCAACTTGGGAATAACCTTCTGATTTTTGTAGACTACAATACAGAAGAAAACACAAATTTGCACAAACAAATTAAATTATCCTATATGTACTTTCATGTGTGCACATGGGCATATGTGTAAGCTTGTGTGTGTGTGTGTGTGTGTGTGTGTTTGTCTGTGTATGTGTGTGTATAAAATCTCTGAAAGGATATATATGAAGTGGTAACATATTTGTTCCCGGGGAAAGGAAAAGTGTGGTTGGGCAAAGGGAGTATGAGGAAGACTGATTTTTCCAAATTTTATCCTTTTCTCTCTTTGCATTTTCAAAATCACAGTTAAAAAGGAATAAATTACATTCCTTAAAAATGACAATACATACCTTTAATAAAAATACTTTACTTCTAAGAAGGTATTCCAAAGAAATACCTACCCATAAGCAAAATGATATAGGTGCAAGGATACCTCTGTCCTAGCAAAAGATTGGAAACAACTTAAGTGTCCATCTACTTGGTACTGAAATAAATTATGTACATTCTTGCAATGGAATAGTATGTAACCAGAAAAAAATTTAAAAGCTCTTTATGTGCTTATACTATCCCCAAGAGAAGTTGTTTAAACGAAATAGACAAGATGCATACTCAAACATATATGTGCTTCTATATACATAGACTATCTCTGTGAGAAAATACAAACATTTTATAACATTGGTTTAGACTGGAAAGAGCTGGATGGCAGGGGAACAAAGATACCATAGAAATTACACTCTGTATAAAATTTTGTTATCATTTGAATTTTGAGCATTTGAATATGTTGCCTTTGAAAATCAAATTCAGTTACAATTTTGAAAATGTGGGGCATTTTTAAATAGCCTAGATTATTTTCATCTCAATTCTTTCTTTTTTCTCTATTGCAAAGCCAGTATGAGGATCTTTCATCTAATAATAACACTCTGGTCGTAGTTCTGCAATGCTTAAGAAATAAAATCTGTTACTCCTGCTGGGATCAGAACAGTTGTCAGCATATGTGGGCATCAGTGGGTGAAGAGCTCTTGAATGTAAGGCATGTAAACTAAATACCAAAGTTGAATGTATTAAAAGTCATTGTTGATATAGGAGAAATCTTATATCAATGATATTTATGAAGACATCTGTCATGTAGTTCTCTATGATACAGATGAGGACAAGACTCTATATACCAGCCTTATGCTATCCATTCGATCAACATAGACTAGAGATACGAAAAGAGAGGGGTAATAGGAATTCCAATTAGATTTCAAAGCTATATCTGGGTCCCTTTACAATGGCATGGATACAGGGAGATGTTGTTAGGTTCTTCATTTCTCTTCTATGTATTTATAACTCTGCCCATTATGTGTATTAGAAATTCAGGCATAAACTTAACTTCATAGAAGATTTTTGAAAATGCCGTAAATAACTACTTTTCAGAAAATTAAGTGGGCTGTGTGTGCCATAAAGACCGTGATGTAACTATGATGATATGGTGTAGAGACGAAGAGTCCTGCCTATGAATTCTACAACTAATGTGTCAGGACAAATCCATTTGTATCCAAAATTTGCATTCATTAACCTCACCATGCTCTCTATCAGATGCCATATTACCATCTCTCCTCACCCAGATTCATCTAGGACCAGAAATATCTGACAGAATTATAGAATTATTAAAGATGCATATCCCACAACCCTTATTGATCACTATATGAACATTTACTTTCCCAAACAAAATTGACAGCTTTTCAAGGACATCACTGCTTTTACTGTGGTACCATCTGTCTCAATACTGAAAACTTGGGTAATCTTTAAATGGGTAAATCTTTAAATGGAATCCTCTTAGCATGACAAATACTTTAATGGCACTTCTTAATTGAACAAAATAACACATCTTTAATGGTTCTACAAAAGGCCTAATTCACTAGCTTTGAATACCTAAATCTTCAAATGAGAGGAGCAGCTTTCAATGGAAATCCTGAGGCCAATAAACAGGCAGAAAGGTTTTTACAGGTGGTATTAGCAGAATACTGGGAAGGGAAATGAGCCAGGGCTCTTTGTTTTTGTTTCGTTTTGTTTTGTTTTTGAGACAAGGTCTTGCTCTGTTGCTCAGGCTGGAGTGCAGTGGTGAGATCATGGCTGACTGCAGCCTCGACCTCCCCGGCTCAAGCAATCCTCCATCAGCATGTAGCTGGGACTACAGGCACACGCCATCACACCCAGCTAATTTTTGTATTTTTTGTAGCGATGGGGGTTTCTCCATGTTGCCCAGGCTGATCTAGAATTCCTTGCTCAAGCGATCTGCCCTCTTAAGCCCCTCAAACTGCTGGGATTTATAGGTGTGAGCCACTGCAACTGTCCTCAGGGCTCTTTAGAAAGACAACCATAAAGAAGGTGTTCAGCAGGAACAGGCCAGAGCAAGGAGGGAGAGACTGATGATAAGAGGCAACATAGGCATTGTTGCCAAAGTCCAGGTAAGAAACAATGAAAGTTAAAGGAAGAGGAAAGAAACGGCCACTTTTTTTCCCTTTGGTAGAAGTGGCAGTTGTGGGTGGTGTTTAAAGGTAGAATTGACAGGAAGCTCTGATACCCTTGAGAACAAACTTTTTTTTTCTTGTTTTGTTTTCCCTGCCTGTTCCTGAGTTTTCTGAGCATCCACAGCTCAATTATAGTCCGCATTTTCCTCCATGCTCCTCTGCAGGCTGCTGCACACTTCCCTGCTACTTGCCAGAATTCTCCCCAGTAGGACACTGGGGTCACAACATTGTGCAGAAGATTACACTTCCCTATGTTGGTAAAAACTGTCCACTAAGTCAACAGTCCCCCACGTTTTTGGCACCAGGGACTGGTTTCATGGACAATTTTTCCACGGACCTGCGGTCGGGGGTATGATTTAAGCACATTGCATTTATCATGCACTTCATTTCTATTACTATTACATTGTAATATATAATGAAATATATATTGAATATAATATATATTCAATAATATAAATATAATAATGAAATAATTATACAATTCACCATAATGCAGAATCAGTGGGAGCCCTGAGCTTGTTTTTCTGCAACTAGATAGTCTCATCTGGGGATGATGGGAGACAGTGACAGATCATCAGGCATTAGATTCTCATGAGGAGTGCAGAACCTAGCTTCTATGAGAGTCTAATGCTGCTGCTGATCTGACAGGAGGTGAAGCTCAGGCCTTACTGCCAGCAATGGAGAGTGGCTGTAAATACAAATGAAGCTTTGCTGGCTCTCCCTGCTGCTCACTTCCTGCTGTGCAGCCTGGTTCCTAATAGGCCATGGACTGTTAGGCCTTGGTCTGTGGCCTGGGGGTTGGGGACCCTTGCACTAAATAAAACTTTCCCAGTAGTTAAAGAACAGCAAAAAACTGAACATTTTCACAAAGATGCCCTTAAAAGTATACTCTGATTGCTAGTCAGGCTTCCTTGTCTCAAGGTCCACTATTGTGTATGTACCTTCCTCTTCAAAAGCATCTTTCCTCTTTTCTCTATGGTATGTATCTTTAAAACTTTATGGTAGTTTATCTCATGGAGGGTCCAGCCCCCTTTCTCAATCAGCACAACCCACAGGACATTATGTTTAGCAATACCTTTCCCAAAGTCTTAGGTAGGCACAGAAAAATAAATAAATAAATAATAAATAAAAATAAATAAATAAAATAAAATAATAAAAATAAATAAAAAATAAACAAAATAAATAAAATAATGCCACAGAAAAACTCTCTCATAGCACAGTCTCTGTAGAGTTTTCATTCCAATTCTTGCCCATTGGTAGCAGTGAAGATTTGCCACCTAATTCTTCTTGATCATCTATGGGATTCTACTTACATATATATCTCAAGGGCAAATAATTATCACCAAAGACAATTCATATTAAAGAAGAAAAATATCTCCCCAAATATAACATAGTCTGTACTGAGTCAATCCTAAATGGAGATAACTGGATACATTTTCATGCAGATTATTGTCCATTTCCACAATATTCATTCTCCTGCTTCTAAGCATGCCCAGATTCCTTCAGGTCTATAAGAAATAGGATCCATCTGTAACCTTTTCATGTGACAGCAACTCCCTTCCTACACAAAGATGTTGAAATTGTGGGATTACTAAAGATCATGGATATGAACGTGTGTGTATGTACGTGTGTGTGTTTGTATAAAATGGGTGGAGAGTCATTTTTCAGTTATATTTAGCTTGGCTCTTTAAGGTATCTGAATTTATTTACTATTTGAACTAATGTTTGGGTTCTTGGCGATAATAAAATATTATGTAATCACAAATAGTGTGTAGATCTGAGAAGCACTCTGACATATGAATAAAATGCTTAAAGAGAATAGAAAGAAGGTCTTTAACTTAGAAAAAGAAGATAGACAAATTTAAAGAATAAAGATTCTTAAACTTTGTGATACATTACTATACTTATGCAAGTATAAAATACAGAATGCTATCATGTGATGAGTTCTGATGAAATTAAAAAATTTATTCTCGTAGAATCTATAATTTTGCTATTCCTGCGAAACATATTTTACCTCACAGGATTAGGTGAATTCTAAGTTCCCAGCTATAAAAATGTATGAATCTCTTTGCTTCCACAGCCATTCATTAAATGTATTTGATTATTTATTTCCACCAGGCATAATTATTTATAGCTTAATGGCCAGGAACCTAAAAAATTCCAAGATGAATTGGAGAGCATTCCTGCCCTTGTGGCGCTCAGTCTAGTAGTAGAAGAGCTAGATAAATAAACAGAAAAACATTGGAAATAGAAGGATGTACAGAGTGTGACACAAGTAAATGATCCATTTTAGAGTATGTGCATGGGAGGTATGAAGTGCAGGATTGTGTCATTGTTAGGTAAAACAAAAAATTTCGCGGAAGAGGGGGCCAGACACAGTGGTTCATGCCTGTAATCCCAGCACTTTGCGAGGCCAAAGTGGGTGAATCACTTGAGCCTAGGAGCTCAAGACCAGCCTGGGCAACATGGTGAGACGCTCCCCCATCACTACAAAATATACGAAAATTAGCTGGGTGTGGTGGCATGTGCTTGTAGTTCCAGTTACTCAGGAGGCTGAGGTGGGAGGATGGCTTCAGCTTGGGAGGCAGAAGTTGTGGTGAGCCTAGATTGCACTACTGCACTCCAACTTGGGTGACAGAGCCAGACCCTGCCTCAAAACAACAACAACAACAACAACAACAAACAAACAAAAAACAAAAGACATTTCAGAGGCTGGGGCACTTGAGCTGGGCCTAGAAGGGTAGACAGTACTAGGAAGTACATTCCAGCCTAAGAAAAGAGCTCGTGCAGAGGTACTAATGCATGAAGCAGCACGGACAACTATTAGTTAACTAGGAGTAAAAGCTGGAGGTGGGGGTGCAGCAATAAAAAGGTGGAAGATATACAGGGAACAAAGGCTATTATGTTGAATGCCTCCTGCTTTGACTGCTGAATTTTCTGTAGTGGTGGTAAGAGGGTTTAATATGTCTGTGGTAAGAAGAGTTCCATCCTCCCTGGAAGTTTAAACAAAAGCAGGTACTCCAATTTGATTCTGACATGCCACACGTGTGATAATATTACAACTCCCTTTCCTTGGCCCAGTAGCAGTAAGTTAATAAATTGGTATCATATGTGTATGCACTGATATTGGTCAACAGCTAAGTTCTGTACTTACTATGCCTCACTAAGGCTTTGAACAGGTATTGGAGACAAGTGTATCAATTAGGATTCTATTTCAAATGACAGAAAATTCAATCCAAGCTAACTTCACCTAAAAGAGAACAAATTTACTCATATGATTTGAAAGTCCAGTGATCAGTCTAGCTCCAAAAACAGCTCAAAGGTCTTCAGCACCCAGTTTCTCCATCTTCATCTCCTGGATCCATTTTCTCTGTGTTGGCTCTGTTCTCCAGCAGGCTTGTGCCCTGTGGTGGCAATTTACATTTGTTCAAGTACAGAGAACAAAGAAATACAGAGATCCCTCCTGGTGGCTCCTGTACAAGTCTTGACCAGTCACTTTGGCTCCCTAGGGTGAAGACCGGTCAATGGAAAGAAGAACTAGTGCAATCTCTAGTACAGATGAGTAAGGTCTAGGTAGTATTTGTGTGATGATTTGTCTCCCGTGACACACCTGGATGCTAAAACCACAACCTCTTGGGATTCCTTTGCCAAGTGTACCCTGGCCTCTTCTTACTTGGGCTACTTCCCCAGTATCAGCTTCTAGTTCCTTGTTTCTCCCTCAGGAAACCTAATCGTTCTGTCTCTCTCCCCTTGTATGTGCCCACGGGAATCCTTTTAACAGTTTCAGAAAAATATTTTCCCCTTTGAAGCTTCTTCCAGATACTCTGGATTCTTTTTCTTAAGAATTTAGGATTTTATAAAACAAAGCCATAAATACTCATAGATCATTTTTGTTTGCATTTCCTTTTACCTCTTCTTGGGACAATGAACACCCAGTAGGAGATCTGCTTACAGGGGTGGAGAGGGAGGAGAGAAGCAATAGCAGAAAATACAGGGAAAAGAAAAATACAGACATGATGTAGATTTCAAAATATTATTCCAAGGAATCACATATATAATAAAGTTTCAAATTAGTAATGTAAGTGTCTTCTTCTTTCTCTCTCTCCTTCTCTCGTTTAAGATCTGAGGAGGCGGAGACCATTGGCAAACAAGCTAGTGAATGAGTAGGCCTCACAAATGTGTGATGTAAATTAAGCCTTGACAGGTATTATATGCCACCCTTCTTATTGGCATGGAATTTATGTCTCAGCCTCAGCTATGTATTTGCCCTGTTCTGACTTACGAGAAGTTATGTAATATTTTGTGTTTATAATTTTTAATATTATGCCCACAGGAAATTGATTTTTTAAAGTGTACTAGGTTTTATCCTGCTTTTCTGAGGACTGAACCCTTTATTAGCACTTCTAAGTAGCACATTTTAAAAAAGAATTCCTAGCAAAAGAAATTCAAGGAATAATCGAATTTTCCGTGTATACGGTCCAGTAATGCCTGTCAAAGGGATATATGGATTCAGGCTCCAACCAGGAAAACAGAAACTGCTCTGAGTATTTAACATAGGGAGAATTTAATTCAATAAATTTGTAAAACAGGTGAGAACAGAGCTAAGAAACCAAAAAAGGGACAGTTATTTTTCAAAAGGATGAAGGCACTGTGACTCCAAAATGGAAGAATAAAGGAAAGAGGCTGTGATACCGGGGCACAGGGTCAGAGGTCATGGATCACTTGGCCGGAGCTGGAGTGTGGCAGTGTGGTGGGGAACACCCTAGCTTTTCCTACCCTCCAGCTCTCCACTGTCCTCCTCCAGCTTCCCATTCAAACCCAGCTGGCAACCAGCTCACAAGGAAGCTTGGAAATGCAGCTTGCAGGGATTAGTGTCCCTGTGATATGGACCAGAGGAGGGGAAAGAAGAACCAGGAATGAAACCGAGGGCAAACAAGTCTAGGACCCTAAACCCACACAGAGGATTTTAAAAAATTCATAGTTAACAAATCCTAGTTGGAGGTTGATAATTTATACTAGAACAACAAAGTTGTTTGCAGTGGCTCCCATCAATGGGAGGATACCAAAGTCTGGGCAGCTTGAGGCATTACCCATTAAAATCAGGACAGCCTCATCAGAAGGGCCGGTTATGTGCGTATATGTCCACATTTTTAACTAATGTTGGGAGCCCTGTAATTTTCCTGAATTTAGTCACCCTTATTTTTAAGACACTGTCTGCCTGAATTTCTTGGCCTTTTAAATGAAGAAGGCTCCTACCTCTAAATCTGAGTTGTCTCTTTTCTTTCATTTGGAATACTGAGAATCCCTCATCACTTTTCTTGTTAACCTTCTATTTATTCATTTGAAGGTTGCTGAGATTTGCTTATACTATAACTTCAGTGATATTTTCCAAGATGAATTTTCATTTCAATCACCAAAACTCTACTGCACAGGATATGGTAAATATTTGTGCTCATTCCTTTGAAGCCTCAACCTGGCTGGCACCACTCTCTAAATATAGATCAGGATTAACTGAGTAATAAGGCAAGAGTTCACTGTAGTTTCTCTAATAAATTCTTCAATACTGTTGCTGTAGAGGAGTCTTTCAAAGGATTTAACCTCAGGTAGACAGAAACTTCAGAAGATTGGGAAATGTTCACATTCTAAAACATTCACTATGTTTGAAAAATTGTAACAAGCTTTATGTTATCAATGAGATCCAGATAAAATATTTTCCGTATTTTCAGTCCCCTATTTCACGAATTTCGTTATGATTTTTTTGTTTTTGTTAGTTTTGAGGAAACTGGTTGTTTTACTGTATTTCTACTGGTTCTAAAGCTAATCTTGTTTCCTCCCTCCCCTCTAAAATCGGGCATGTTTCAAATTTCGCCAATATATGCTAGTTCTCATCCTATTAAATTTTTAAGGGCAGGGATAATGGAAAATGGAACATCACGTTAAAAAGGGATAAGAAGTAAGCAAAAGGGCTTTAATTTAAAATTATGAGAGAAGCTCAGTGTTTCAGGAAAATAGCAGTGAAAGAAAAATACCTCTTTATAAGGAGCAGAAGAAAGAACCTTAAGGCTAAGTTAAATTAGACATATCAAACATTTTATGGGAAAGAGAGACAGATGTGCTTTTGGAACTGGAAAAATATTGGTTAACTTTTAGTTGTGATCACACTTTGGCGGTGACTATATGAAGCAAATGTTTTGGCTCTAAACTTATTTTGCCACTTTTATGTTTTCTGATTCACCAACCTGAAGAAAGAAGAATAAAGCATATTCTGACTGATAAATCAGAAAACTTTCCCTTGTCTCAATAACACCACTTAGTGATAAACAATTCAGTGTCTTTCAACGGAAACATTCCTTTTAAAAACCACACAAACCAGAAATGGGAGCAAAATTGGAGAAAGTGATCTCATTGCATTTTGCTACCCATAATCCATTTGCTCACATGAGAAAACGTGGTGTTGGAAAGGGCCTGTGACATCATTAGACTGTAAATATGTCTGCTGTCCTGTAAATGAGGCAGACTGTGACTAGTTTTTCCTCTTAAAATAGTTTTAATGGTATATTTTAATTCATTATTTTCCTGAAGTGGCCCTAATATATTTTAAGATGTACAAAATTTTAAAATGTCAGAACACCAAATTAATCTACATTTGTTACCTGTCTCCCATGAGACACTGGGTGCTTATGTTTATTTGATAAAACTTTATCCCTGGACACAATATCCTTTAACATCCTAGAATGTAAGGGTAGAAAAGGAACTATCAGTCCTTAATGTTAATGAAGAAAGTGCGGCAGAGAAAGGCCGTGGTTTCTGCAAGGTGGCACAGAAAAGTACAGTGAAGACATAATTAAAACTCAAATTTCTTTATCTTCTAAACCCCAGCTCAGAGAACCTTCTACTATACCACTTTGCCTCACTAGTGAACTAAGAACCATTTCCCCCAACACTAGTAACTCACTCTAACCATGCCAAGTCACTGCAACACCTTGCTTGCATCTGCAAATTTTTATCTATGTCTATATCAGAACCTCAGAAAACATGTTCATAGCTGAGACATTTTGCTCAAGACGAAATACAGTTTTATAGTCTATTAATTGTTGGTCCAAGAAAACAGATTACCTCCAGTTGTATGTGGGTACCTTAATGAGTAGGACAAGTGTCAGGGTGTGTGACAGAATTGCCTGAGTATGGAAGGTAGCAGTGAGAGTCTCCACAAAAATATTAATACTTTCCTATAGAGAAAGCCCCTTTTAAAGTGGGAGCCTTTATTAAAGTCCAGAGTTAAAAAGTAAGCTCTTTAACGTTGAGATTATAGACTTTTAGAAAGTTCATTTATGCCATGTTTCAGGCCTATGCTAAATTCTACGGCAAAAAGACCTGTAAATGCACCGGAGCTGACAGCCTGGGTCCTGGAACCCTTCCTCACGCTGCTACTACGGGGCACCCTTTCTATAATACAACCCCCCGAATGAAAACACTAATGCAAGCCTGGCCCCACAAAAACCTAGATAATGCTTACGTTGAAGACGACAGGTTTTTCGCTTTTGTTTTCGGTTGAGGACTTACTACCCCAAAAACACATCCGACCTGTACTAGAATAGGTGTGTGAGGGAGCGGGAAAAGCTCGGGTCATTTTAACTGGACTAGAAAGGAACACAGCGATCCCCTCACTAAACTTGTCGCCAAGTTCCCTCCTCGCCATCCCAGGGTGCGGGAAAAACCCCCTCCCGCCCCGGGGCCCCGGCAGCACTCGGGGACGCCAGCACGCCGGGCTCCTTCCCACCCGCGAACCGCGCTCCCCGCAGGGCGGGCCGGGGCGGGGAAAAAGGAGCTCGACGCGAAGGGCCGCGGGCGGCCTGGGAAGGGAGGAGGGAGACTTGGGAGGCTGCCGGGCGGTTTTATTGTTTCCTTTCGCCCTCCTCCTACCGCGCCTCCGCCCCAGCGTCACTGGAAAGCCGCCCGAGCCGCCCGGCGGCAGGTTATTTATAGCGCGGGCTGCGCGCGCGTCACGGAGCCCGGCCCGGCTGACGGGGCCGCTGACGCGCTTGGCCGCGGGGCCGAGTCCGCGGGGCTGCGCGCCGGACGCCGGCGACAATGGGCTTCTGTGTGCAGCTGCCGCAGCCGCCGGGGGCCGGGGGCCGGGGGCCGGGGGAGGGGGGCGGGCGACTCCCCGGCTCCCTTCTTGGTCGGCCGCGACCCCCCGAAAGGTAACAGGCCTCTTTCGCCCCCGGCCAGGACCTGGGCCCTGTGGGCTTTTTTTTTTTCCATTTTATCAGTAAGTTCCCCTTGTCCCAGCCTCCGCTTTCACTTCCCGCGTTCCCTCCACCCCAAAAACCGCCCCAACATGTCCAGAGAGGGGCATCTACCCAGCCGCCCAGCCAGGGGCGACCACTTTGTGAGCCCCGGGGAGCGGGACCCGTACCAGGCGCGCCCAGCGGGGGATGCGGTGACCGAGGGGCCGGGAGCGCCGGGCAGGTAACGTATCCTGGACCTAGAGTCGGGGGACTTTGTTTGGGGCGGGAGGAGCGGAACAGGGGTGGGTGTGAACGCCGGACGGCCCTTCCGGGACTCCTGTCCCCCCTCCTTCGCCCCACTCGCCTGCGCGCTGGAAGCCAATCTGGGTGTGTAGCGCGAAGAGCGAAAGAGAAACTTCTGCGTGACTGACTAGATGAGGCTCCTCCCGAGAAGCCGAGATAATAGAGGCCCCCTCTCCCGCCGCCCGCCTTTTTCTCCTCCCCCGGCCGCTCGCTCCTGTCGCCCCACCCCTCGAAGGCTGCGGACCAGCCCCCCACACTTCCCCCTACACCTCTGGCGGGTTCGCGCCGTGGACGCCCCCGCCCTGCGGGAGGAGGGGCTGGCGCGGATTTTAGGGACTTCCTGGGATGCGGAGATCGGCTCTGAACCATCCCCTTTCTGCTGCCCGGAGCTGGGGAAGCTCGCTGTGGAGCGTCTCGCACGTGGCAGGCAGGCAGAGAACTTGCTGCACCTTCTAGGAAATTGCAATCGATTTGTAATGCACTTTCGCTAATTGGGAGTTCAAAATTAAACTTTAATAAAGCATTCGTGTCGTCTCGTCTAATTGTGAAAGCTTCCATCCGTCCTGGTAGATAGACTCTAAGTCTCAAGTTAATGGCGCTAAGCTAGATTTTCCCCCCAAGTACAATTCCGTCAGCCGTCGTCGGCGCAGCTGGATTTCCGTAAGGTACAGATGTTGCTAATGACAGCTTAAGCACGGATGGGCAGATAGCATACGGAATGCAACATGTTGCCATATGGTTCCTTTAGCCTTTCACCTCCAGGGATATCAATCACATATATTCTGGGAGGAACTTAATGACTCTCTGAACAGCAAAATGAATTACCTGGTACAATTTATATCCCTTGACCTGATACGTTATAACAACAGGAAGATAGCATCTCGCAATTTCTGTGGTATAAATTGAACTACAGAGCTACATTTAAAATTCTACATCTATTTGTAGTTTAAGGGGCCCTGTCATATTCTGGCTGTAAAATCTGTTTCTGTATTGCCCATCTCCTTCCCCCTCCTACCTCTGGAGGAAGCAAAATTTATAAAGTTTAGCAAAACTGGTGTCGGAAATTGCCAGTCAACTGATTAATAGATGAAGTATGGAGAAATGGAAAATATGACTTCCAGAGCTACTTACTTCAACAAGAATTAGCCATCTTTAGGAACACCATACTTTTAAGCGTACAAAATTAAAGAACTCCAGAAAATGTATTTTCTGCTAGTTGTTTCAGTATAGCTCCTAAATCTATTCATTAACTATTTGAAATTCTCCATTTATTTTCAAACTTCAACCATTCCTACACTTTGGAAATTACAGAAGACAGTTCTCAGAAATATGAAATACAGGAAATGTAAGTAGCACCTCCTCAGCGAACCAGTTTCTGTACCCACAACCCCATGCACTCACTATTTATGTAGCTTAATTTGAATCATGTACATGGTGGTACTGGTAGTTTGCTTTTTCCTCCCAACATGTCAGTGACAGCATACTTAAGTTGCTGCTTCTCTCCTAGTGGAGTGATTCTGCAATATTTCACAGGTCTCATTTTTAAATATCCTGGTGACTAATAAAATGTTTTAATTGATTGCCTTTAATTTCAGATTATAAACGTGGTTGTCTTACTGTATCCTTTATTTTCTATTCACTAATACAGATAGATCACACGGGAAGACAATACTTTAAGGGCAAAAAGTAAAATAACTTACTAGAATTTCTAAACTTTATGTTTACTTTTACCTACTAAGGGATATCTGAAAGGTAGAGACATACTTTTAAAACTTTTTGCTTCTGGCACTATGTAAACATTAATTCATGTAAACTAATGACTAGCAGAATGCCTAAGATAGACATGAACAGTCTGAAAAAGTATTTACTTTCAGTCATGTCAAGTTTCGGAAAGTGTTAACATTTTGAAAGTTTGTCTATATATCATGTCCTTTCATAATTATTGTGAAATTATAAGACGATGCTTCTCCTTTTTTTTTTCCTTTGTAGTGGCTGATTTGTTACCTAGTGCTTTAGTTCGATAATTTTGATAATTATTATCAAATAAGATCCTTTGTGTGTGTATATAGGAGAAAATCTTATACAGAACACATTAAGATATACATAAGTTATGGCAATCTTGTCTTCTGGGGCTGTTTTTTAAATCTTTTAATGGCTGAGGTTTTATTTCTCTTTGTAGCACCAGCACTCGATGTGTCTTAAATGTGATCAGTAGTGATGGTGAGCTTGTCAATAATGACTCCATCTCCATGACTTGTGAATAGGCGGTGAGTGTGTCCTTTAATCAGTCACACAGAACTTGCTTTATAAAGCTGTTATTGTCATGAACAGATATTGCAGTCTTGTCAGGCCCAGTGATTATTAAAGTGTTCCTTCTTCAAAAGCCAGGCCGAAAGTCCTGCTGTGCTTCATTTCACAATTGAAGTCCATTAGTAAATAAAATCCCAAGCCGCACGATTTGCTGTTCCTCAAGTTATAGGCTTACATATATTTCATTAATAATCTTGGGCCCTTTTGTAGACATAAGTAGGTATATTTTTGGTATATATATATGGCAACAAAAATAAAATATGTATCTTGCAGCATGACTTTTATTTTAAATGAAGATTTGATGGATGTCCATTGTTACTCTAAATGAGGTGGCTGGCTGCCAAGGGAAACCCTACAGTCAGAAAGTACTAGAATTGTTACTATCTACAGGGAATCACTTTCTATTTTTTGAGTTCTCAACTTCACCTCCTCCTTTCAATAGTGCCCCTCCATATTGCTAATCTGAGAATTAGTCTGAATATGAAAACTTTTGAAAATATGTTTGTGTTGTCCAAGAAAAATTTCACCAGTGTTTCTGGTTGCCTGCTGGTTTTCAGCCTTTATCTTGAGTGGGCATGTTTATTCTAACTGAATGAAGAATGACTATTGAATTAGGTATATTCCCCATGCCAAATAATTTTAACTGTGATGTAATCCTAGCCGCTTTCTTATTTTTACTCCCGAATAAATTTAAAATATTTAAGATTGGCCAGGTGTCTGTTTTTCTCAGGGTAACATGGGACAGCTATGGATAGGCATTAGGCCTCTCATAGAACTCTTCATTCAAGTGAGTGTGGCTGAGAGGAACAACCAGGAAAGAGTATAGTGCCCCATTGCACTTGCCCTGTTGGCTTTTCAAATGCAAAATCCACGTTGTTGCATTTGGAAACTTGTTTCTCTGTTTTATGGTATTTCATTTAAGAATTTTTTTTAACTGCCAGTCTGTAAATATTTAACCAGCCAAGCAGGAAACAGCCTTTTATTCTCGACTGTATACAGCTTTTGTTTTTATCTGGGTTAGCATGGGTGCCATGTAAATACCATATAAAATTTGACTTTGGTTGTCCTTACTTTGAAGATTGACAGGGGTTTCTTTAATTAATCTTGTTTCCTTTCATGTTCTGTATTGAGATATTGAAATACAGTATTTTATACATTTATAGGATTGTGTTTGCATTTATTTAATTTATGTTTCTTTTTTTGAAGCATGTAGCCTTGAATGTTTGTTCTACCCTTTTTTTTTTTTTCACATCATTACTCTGGTGCTGCTTGATGTAACTTGATTAGCTCCCTCCCCAGTCATGATTGGTAATTAAAATAGGCATTAAAATTAGTCACTTAGCAATTTTGCTGTTCAATTGGCAATTAAATTACTTAATTGCAATTAAAGTCCTAATTTTAATTGGCAAAATGATAGATGTAGATTTAAGATAATATGTATAAATACTTTAATAAGTGTCTATATAAGGATTACTTAATTACTCAACTTCAAGTTTATGCTGTTAACTTTAGAACTTTTAAGTGAGCAATGAAATTTATATTACATCTATTCAAAGGATATGGTAATTAGATTTATTACTTATCACTATAAGGGTCCTTGCTTTAAGTTACTTTTGTAGTGTTAAAATTGTAGGCTTGATAATTGCAGAATTCTGATGAGAAAAAGGGCATATATGTCTCTGTTGCAATATTATCAATACCTTCATTTTTAAAATTAAATTGAGACATTCCATCCACCAATTAGTCTGAGGAAAAAATCAAAAGTGGTTATTTTATCATTAAAGATAGAACAAAAACTAGCCAGCTTGTGATTTACATATAAAAACTTGCAAAATGTATGTATTTTATCTAAATTTAAATAAATGCTATCTAATACTGGTAGTGTTATAATGCTATTAACTACTTTTAGAATTTGCAGATATTTGATGTTTTCTTAGCATGTAGCAACTTATTTTCATAATCTTTAAACTGTCTTTTAGGACTTTGTACATTTTAGTGATGCCTATGTTTACTAAAATTAGCAATGAAATCTAAAACCAAAGTTATTCTTCTTTGCCTAATAAAAAATAGTTCTTAAATAAGAAAATATTAAGTGGTTAATTTAAAAGCAAGTATTTAGGAGATGGTTACTGGGTGTCAAGTATTAACAAAAAATGAAGGATTTTTATTATGCAAAATACTTTTTGAGTGGCATGAGGTTTTACCATATGTTCAGTTTTATAATTTCAATTTACAAGAAGATGCTTCCAGAAAAAAGAATGCTGTTTTTTTTCTGCACATCTTTACACATTTCTAGTACTGAGTTCTGTATCAAAGAAAGAAATAATTTTAAAAGTATTTGTGTTAAGTGGTTTTTGGTAAAAATCGGCTGAGAAATACTGAATAAAAGCTACAACTATCCAAAATGTGAATATTAACAAAGCAATTGACTTGTTCTTTAACCATCCTATGAGAAAGGAACAAACAATTTGGTCAATTACTATCCTGTCAATGCAAATGAAATGGCAAAAGCAAAACAATAAAAACACTTTCAGAAGTAAAAACTAATTTTGTATTTTCAGAAACAGATTTTTTTCAAAGTGAAAATTTATTTCTTGTATCAGTAATGTGACTTACTGCCCAATGGCAACAAATGCTGTGAATGAGTTTGTCCAAATGTAATTTAAAATATATATCTTGTAATGCTAAAAATAGGTTCTACAAAGTAATTTTATTATGAAAAATCTTAAAGTTGCCTCAACTCGTAAAGCATAACAGGTATGTCTGTTTCACTATATCTGCATTGTAAGGTCTATTCTGAATTCATTTGGGAAGAATGGTGAAATAAATCCCTAAAGGCCTCTTTCCTATGCATTAAAATAGAAAATCCTATGGGATTACATTCATGTTTGCTTTCTAAATTATGCCAAAAGCTCAATTTTATTAAGTATAATCTGCCTAGCCATGCATAAAATAAACTACTTTGGTTTAGATGTGAGTATATGTATTATTTATGTTGATTTTTAATGAAAATATGTTTACATGTACCAATATGTTCTGCCTAATATTGGTTAATGTCATAAAAGATAATATAGTAACATTACTTTCCTAAATGTTTTTCTGTGGTCATCCAATAGTGTTTCTTAATAGTAATGCTTTTTAATTTATTTTAGTTGGTTTCAAAAGAGGATAGGTGCAATTTTTACTCCCACTCATTTTAAAAACTGTTAAGAAAATAGACCTTCATTGTGGGGTAACTTTACACATTTATACATGGCAATAGTTTAAAGTTATATCGGCTGCGGGGGCCTGAAAAAGCCATTATTGTCATTTTAATTGAGTTATAAAATACTTTATTTGAACTATTTATGTTCAAGAATCTTGAAGGGTTACAGTCATATAAATGCAGAATTTCAGTTTCTTTTAGCCTAAAGCATCGTTTTAACATTTTCTGAAAGGTTGTTCAATTCTACATTTTGATTCCATATGTGTAATTAAATCTCTATGCACAAAAGCATTCTCTTATGTACTAGCAAATATACCCACAGGAATCTCCTTCTAAACTATAATTTATTTAACATGTAATCATAGGATTTTAAAACATGCTTTCATTTTTCCAAACTGTATGCCAATTTGAACTTCTTGGTGATAAAATGAGAGATTTTATTACCAGTTTGATTTTTTCCTTCTGTGACCTAACAGTGAGTTAAGCATGAGCAGGAGGAAATAAAGAAAATCTTTTGTGAACCTAATCCCATGTGTTAAAACTGTTTCCCTTTTGGAGAAAATAGAAGAGAATCAAAGATTTTTAGTTATTTATGAATTCCAGCACAATATGAATATTTGGGCCTGCAGCATTCTCTTTGGTTTAGCTTAGGTAGTAAATAGCTTGTGTGTGTGTGTGTGTGTGTGTGTGTGTGTGTGTGTGTGTGTGTGTGTGAGTGATTCTCTTGAACGTTGTGGAGTCAGGCCCCCTACTGACTGGATCAGTCAATTACACACACATTGGCGGTGCTACTGAGACATCGTCCCATCAGAATCTGGTGAGGAAAACTAGTCTGGGGTTTTGAGCGTGGCCTTTTTTTTTTTTTTAAACACTTCTGATCTATATGCTGAATCCTTTCCAACCCATCTCATCCGGGCCTTACAGAAACCCTAGCCTAAGAAGTAGCTTATTCAAAATTGGTTTAAACGAGTTTAACAGTCTTACATCCGGCGTGTCTTCCTAAGAAACAGTAAAAGCTTCCCAGAAACCAGAATAGGACTTTGAAGAGGAGAGAACTCTTACACAGATGATGGAATAGATGAGAAAGGTCTCCCCTTTCTCTCATTTTAATTTATATTTAATTTTATATTTAATTATATTCCCAGTTAATAATAATTGTTATAATAAGCTGCTGTGAAAACGACCCTTCATTCTTGGTTGCATTAAGACTTGGACAAAGGCTGTTATCAGGAAGCCGCACTCGACAGGTTGTTATTAAAGAATAAGGCATCATATTACAATGTTTGGCTTCCTTGGAGCTCACTTTAAGAACTCCAGGACACTTTTCAGCTCTCTGGGGAGGCATTTTCAAATTGTCCCAGGCTCAACCCAACCTAAACTGAATGTGTTTTTAATGGCAATGAGGGAGGGGGAAGCGTGCAGAGTGAATGTATCTACTTAGACGGGAGTATGTGTATGGAGGCTGGTGGTTACAACCTTCAAGTTCTCCCGGCCCCCGTTTTCCTAGGACTATATTAAAAAATAATAACTGCCACCCCGGCGTGCCTGTGCTTGAGTTTCCGACTGCCTGAAAATAGCGGCCGGGAGCCTGGCCCACCGCGGGGATCAAGGAAAGCTTCCCGTGGCCGCGCCCTGCTCCCTCGCGGAAGGGGAAGGGAACCCGGGAGGGCGCCTCTGAGCTGGAGTTGCTGCTATTTTGGGCCCAGCCTGGCCGGTGCGTCAATGCCTGCGCCCCTGCGTCACCGCCACCCCCACCCCCTTCCTTCTCCCCAGCTCTCCAAACTCTCACTTTTTCCCTTTCGTTCGCATGGAATCGCTTCTGCCCACGGGGCGCTGACGCTACCGAGCTCATGCTAATATGCTATTCTTCGCCCTCCCCTCCTCATCCCCCTACTCACACACCCTCACCCGCCACCACAACCCGCCCCCCCCACCCACTTCCTGGTTTTATTTTTTTTCTCGCGCCCGCTAGGGCATCGCCGAGCAGCGGCGGCGGCGGCAGCAGCAGCGGCAGCCGCAACATCTGGGGGAAACTTAAGGTGGTCACGTAGGTTTCCCCGAGGCTGCGGCGCAAAAGAGCCCGCGGCTTCCTGGGGCAGCCGCAGGGCATCTGATGGCAACGCCTCCCCAGCCGCCGGCGAGCTGGGGGCAGCAGGGAGTAGGCAAAGGCGGGGCTGCAGATTAGGGTTGAGCAGCCCGGGATCCCGAATAGTTCCACGGAGCCATCGGCCGGTACTGAGAACACGAGTAGGGGGGCAAGTTGCAAAAGGGTCCCGGCTGCCTGGAAACGAGCCACACCGAGAAAGGAGGGGCGGCTGGGACGCTCTGCGCGAGTAGAAAAGCGGGGGCGGCTCCGAACTCTCCCTCCCAAGGCCCAGCCGCTGGAAGCCCCGCGGGAGAAGCCCTAGGAAGCCCTCCCAGCTCCGGCCGGGAGACGGGGAGGGGGCTTGCCCTCCGGAGCTGCGGCGTTTCCTTTGCTAGAAAGCTCCCTGCGCTCTCGGCGTGGCTAGGGGAAATGACTTGCAAAGCAGAAGCGGCGGCGACTTGGACGGCCGCGGGGGTGGGACACGCTCCCAGAGCCAGCTCGGGCCCCTCTCCTGGCTGGGCTGTAGGCTCACACCTTACGCTTTGCGGAGACGCTGCCCCCAATCCCCACCCGCTTCGCTTTTCTTGTCCAGTCTTTCTGGGCTCTAAGATTGAGGCTGTGATAGACCTTGTGTTTCAAACGAAGATCGATTTATTCCCTTAAAACTCGTGGAAGGGGTACGAGTTGGTGGGCACAGAGGAGTATCGAAAGTATTAGAGTTTGCAGAAGGTGGGAATCAGAGTACCTTTCTGCAGAAGGCGCACCTGTTGCCTGCTGCTCGGCTGCATTGTCTGCGAAAGGAAAAGGGGCGACGCTTCACTCTGACTTTTGGGGTTTCTAAAGAGCTGGGTCACGGTCACTGTCTACCCTCTCCCCTTCCTCTCCCCCCCCCCCGCAAGCACCACGTCCTCCATCGAACGTGGGCACTGCATGGAAATAAGGAAACATAGAAAAATAAGCCCTACCCCCACTCCCATTCCCTTTCAGATGGGAGTGTGGGGGGTGGGGGTGGGGTAGAGAGAGTGAGAGAGAGAGATAATTAGAATGAATATATGCCAGAAGAGGAGGAGGCCTGGGACAGGAAAAGGGAGTAAAAGGGGATGAACCGGGTAGGGAAATCCCACCCGAACTGCGTGAGCCCTCTGAGCGTCTCGTGTCATGGGACATCTGTACGCTCTTCCGCTAAGGGGGTGACGAAGGTGGGTGGGAGAGGTTAGGGCGCTGCAAGGCACATCCCATTCCGTGCGGCTCCAGGTGCGTACTACCTGGCCACGCCGGCCTTGCCTTCCGCCGGTGCTTTTGTTGCACCCTCCCCACATGTGAGCGGCCGAGCCGCTGCGCGGGCGCAGGGGCTTCGGGGAAAGTGAAGTGTCGCGACGCTGCGGGCTGCGCAGACCTGGGAGAGGTCACACCTCTTTCGGAAAAAAAAAAAGAAAAGAAAAAAAACACCAAAAACCACCCAAGCTGGCTACCAAGGTGAACGCAGAGCGGTTCCCACCTTAAAATCGGCCCTGCTCGTGACGTCAGGTCGGAAATATACCAAAGCGAGCGCGGGCCAGGAGTCCAGGGAGCGCGGCAGCGCGGCGATTGGGCGGCGGGCCGCTGACGCGCGCTGACGCGCGGAGACTTTAGGTGCATGTTGGCAGCGGCAGCGCAAGCCACATAAACAAAGGCACATTGGCGGCCAGGGCCAGTCCGCCCGGCGGCTCGCGCACGGCTCCGCGGTCCCTTTTGCCTGTCCAGCCGGCCGCCTGTCCCTGCTCCCTCCCTCCGTGAGGTGTCCGGGTTCCCTTCGCCCAGCTCTCCCACCCCTACCCGACCCCGGCGCCCGGGCTCCCAGAGGGAACTGCACTTCGGCAGAGTTGAATGAATGAAGACAGACGCGGAGAACTCCTAAGTGAGTAGATGCAGCCCATGCAGTTCGCCTTCTTTTATGCTTTTTCCTTCTTTTGCACGTCTCTTCTTTCCACTTGTGTGGGACAGGTTCTCTGGAAGTGGGAGCCAGAGGCTTCTAGTGAGAGTGGGACCGAAGGATGGGGAGTGCGTGCGCGCAGTTACCGGGGGGCATTTGTTCGAACTCCGGCTTTGGCACTAGTGGGGAGTTGGCTCTCGACAGAGGTTTCCAGGCTCCTCATTGGTGGACGTGGAAGGGAGACTCCACAGTTTGGGAGCTGAGGACTAGCCCGCGGAAATGTGCGCAAAGTTTGCTGTTAGTGAGGAATTGATTGTGGCCTGTGAACACGGAGACTCCAAGTCCTATGTATACGAGGGAAGCTGCCCACAAACTGACAGGGAGAGGAAGTTCTTCAGTTTATGCGTTGCTTGGGAACTGTGTCTCCGCGGCTGGCCAGCGCGCGATGTTTCCCGGGTATTGTTGAGTAAGGGTGGTGTTGGTAGCGTGTCCTGTTACTAAGTTGCCTGAAATTTCTGGTTTTGACATATGCTGTCCTTGGGTTTGCGAATGTATCAGAGCGAGAATATGAATATGTAAAGAGTACAGTTATGAAACTGTGGAGCTACCAGGGGGTTAATATCCAACACAGGAATATCTCTAAGGGCTGTGGGGTTCGAGTCTCCTTTCTGCTTTTTCTGGGTAATCTTCCCCCCACCCCCACCACCACTATGAAGCAAGATTGTGGGGGAGGGGAAAGAATAAAAAGAGAGGATACTGGCTTTCTTTTTTCATTAGTAATAAGATTGTCTGTGCTCTAGAATGTCTTCCAAGTGGGAACATCTGAAAATTGCTAGGACACAAGAATGCCTTGTTCCAGAAAGGCAGATTGTGGAAGGCATTATGGGGAAGGTGTTCATCTTGCTGTGCTGGGAAACACTTCTAATATTGGTGCCAATACCATATAAGCAGTATGTCCCCCCTCTGCAATTGACCTAAGAAGCTCCTGGAAAAGTAGATCCCCTCTTCCCACCTTGTGACCATTAAGCCTTGTGACCATTAAAGATGCTGAAAGACAAGTTTTCTGGAAAAGTGAACATCAATTTATCTGTAGCTCCAATCCCAGTGCTCTGTCAAAAGCACTTTAGAAGTGCGGATGCTTCCACTCAACTTGCCTTCTCAGTCAAGGCCTTTCTAACATTTTGTAAGGGGGAAGATTGTTTTCTCATTTTATATTCTTGACTTCTACTTTCTTCCCCTCTACCAAAAGAAAAGGCAATTTCACCACAAGAAAAAAAAATGCAAGAGAAGGTTCCAATGCTGTATTTTCATACTCTAGTCTTCATACTCAGGTCCTGAATTAACCTAAGATGGAAATGACCTCTCCACCTACACTGTAGCAAAGGGGCCAGTTCATTACATCATAAATGTTAAATGAGTTCATGGACTAGCTTTCCTCTTGCAGGATCTTCTCTCTGCAAGGATTTACACAGTGCAATGGGTGGTATTTTCTGTTGTTTCAAGTCATTTCTTTTATACATTCATTTTAAGTGCTATGTTTGGTAAAGGCTTCCCACTCATTTCCAATGAGACAAACAGGGAAGGCATGGAAGGGCCTGCCTGGTGAGTCTACATATGCCCAGCTGAATCTCTGTCGGGAAGAAACCCTGAAGCTTCCTGTGTCTGTATTTCAGGGAGGAGATTGGACAGGCTGGACTCCCCATTGCTTTTCTAAAAATCTTGGAAACTTTGTCCTTCATTGAATTACGACACTGTCCACCTTTAATTTCCTCGAAAACGCCTGTAACTCGGCTGAAGGTTAGTGCAACTTCATTTCTTTCCTTTACTCTCCAGAGCTCCCCAAACATCAAGAAACAGGACAAGGCAAACCCTGTAACTTAAGGTTTGCCCGACCCATCGCCTTCGGGAACAACTTTCTCATTGTGAAATTCAACTTCATTTCTAGATGGTCATTTCTAGAAAGAGACTGCTGAATCTGAGCTTCAGAGAAGAGGCTCATCTGAGTGGGATGAGTGGGGGGGTATGAGGGAGATGTTTGGAAATACCCAGGAGTGTAGACCCTCAGTAGCTTTTTAGCTCTGGGTCTTTATTTGGTTAGTCTTTCCACGCCCTAAACTGTTGTTCTGCAGCATTCTCTCTCTCCTGCCTTTCCTCTCGCGCCCCTACATGCTCTCTGACTGCCGCGGGCTGCCGGTGTAGCTCCAGGTGTACCCGAGCCCGGGAGAAAGTGTTCAGTTGACCAGGCTGAGTGTGTTATCACCCTGTTTCATTTCCAGCCATGCCTTGTGTTCAGGCGCAGTATGGGTCCTCGCCTCAAGGAGCCAGCCCCGCTTCTCAGAGCTACAGTTACCACTCTTCGGGAGAATACAGCTCCGATTTCTTAACTCCAGAGTTTGTCAAGTTTAGCATGGACCTCACCAACACTGAAATCACTGCCACCACTTCTCTCCCCAGCTTCAGTACCTTTATGGACAACTACAGCACAGGCTACGACGTCAAGCCACCTTGCTTGTACCAAATGCCCCTGTCCGGACAGCAGTCCTCCATTAAGGTAGAAGACATTCAGATGCACAACTACCAGCAACACAGCCACCTGCCCCCCCAGTCTGAGGAGATGATGCCGCACTCCGGGTCGGTTTACTACAAGCCCTCCTCGCCCCCGACGCCCACCACCCCGGGCTTCCAGGTGCAGCACAGCCCCATGTGGGACGACCCGGGATCTCTCCACAACTTCCACCAGAACTACGTGGCCACTACGCACATGATCGAGCAGAGGAAAACGCCAGTCTCCCGCCTCTCCCTCTTCTCCTTTAAGCAATCGCCCCCTGGCACCCCGGTGTCTAGTTGCCAGATGCGCTTCGACGGGCCCCTGCACGTCCCCATGAACCCGGAGCCCGCCGGCAGCCACCACGTGGTGGACGGGCAGACCTTCGCTGTGCCCAACCCCATTCGCAAGCCCGCGTCCATGGGCTTCCCGGGCCTGCAGATCGGCCACGCGTCTCAGCTGCTCGACACGCAGGTGCCCTCACCGCCGTCGCGGGGCTCCCCCTCCAACGAGGGGCTGTGCGCTGTGTGTGGGGACAACGCGGCCTGCCAACACTACGGCGTGCGCACCTGTGAGGGCTGCAAAGGCTTCTTTAAGGTGAGCAATGGCGGGAGCGGAGTAGGCAGGTAGGGAGCCCCTAGTGCCCGGGACCTCGGAGTGTGCCCTCTGCCTTGGTGCCAGTAGCCCAGCCCCAGCTCTCCCGGGACTGCCCAGCTCTCCGGGGTCCGCCGAAGCTGCCCTGCAGGAGACCATGGGCTGCGGCGGGGACTTCCGGGTGTCTGAGAAAGGGAAGCAGAAAGACTGGGAGGCCAGGGTCGCATCCCCCTCGCATTCAGCCGACCCGGCTGGCCCCCGCCCGAAGTTGCTGGAGCCGGAGTTGGAAGAGGGTCATTTGCATGTGCTAGGAGCTGTCTTCCCTGTTCAGAATGAAATTGGTTAGGACAGAGAACCGTGTCTGAGCTAACCAAGTGGAACAGAATTCCCTATGGTCAAATTAAGTGATCTCTTTATTTCGCCATCCTGATTGAATAATCTTATCATTTTAAATAGAGAAGGTCTCCAAGGAATGTAAATAATATGAATGCCCACGGATTTGTATTTACTGAGCGTCTCCTTCTCCTTCTCTTGGCATATAAAACACAGCAAGGAGCGGCAAGGTTAGCTCAAATGTTAACGCTATCAATTTTCTTCTGTTAAATGCCCTGGGGGAGGAAAAAAGAAAAGAAAGAAAGAAAAGGAAGAGAAAAAAATAAAATGGAATTGTGTGTATGTGTTTGTTTGTGGGGAGGAATCGTAGACCCCAGTCACATAACAGAAATTTTCTCCGAGTTGCCTGATTTTCAAAAGAAGAAAAAAAATGTTGGTCTATATTGTCTCCTTTTGCAGCGCACAGTGCAAAAAAATGCAAAATACGTGTGTTTAGCAAATAAAAACTGCCCAGTGGACAAGCGTCGCCGGAATCGCTGTCAGTACTGCCGATTTCAGAAGTGCCTGGCTGTTGGGATGGTCAAAGAAGGTAGGCTGAGGGGAGCTGCCGACCCTCCAGTTTGCGCCTTTAGGAAACCACTGCTCATACTCCAGCATCACGTTCCACTTCCCGGTGCTGGGGATCTCCGACTCCCCCTCAGTATGGCCTCCAGGACCCTGCAGCTGCCTGCTTGCCCGGCCTTCCCTAGAGAAAGCCGCCAGGCCCTTCTCTCCTTTAACTATACGACCCATTTGGAGGAAGACATAAAATAACCCCGCATTTTTTAATGCTTCTAGTCAGTGAAGGCTTTACAAGCACTGGGGCCCTCAGCCGCTCAGCCTGGTGCCCCGCGGCTGCGGCCTTCCCCGGGGAGGGACCGAGGCAGCAGCTGGGCCTGGGCTCGGAAAAGCGGCGCTAACAGGGCTCTTCCTTTGCAGTGGTTCGCACAGACAGTTTAAAAGGCCGGAGAGGTCGTTTGCCCTCGAAACCGAAGAGCCCACAGGAGCCCTCTCCCCCTTCGCCCCCGGTGAGTCTGATCAGTGCCCTCGTCAGGGCCCATGTCGACTCCAACCCGGCTATGACCAGCCTGGACTATTCCAGGGTAAGAAGCTGGCGGGGGGGATATCATGTGGACAAACCGACAGATGGGCAGGACCCCTCCCCACATCCGTCATTAACTCTCAGATTCAACGGGGGTAAAGAAGGCAAGCAAGGCTGTATATGCCTCGCAGCTCTGGCCAGGGCCTCAAGATTCAGATCTTCAGACAATCCATGTAGCTGGGGGCATAGACATGAGGACAGGATGGAGGAAGGAGGAGAGGGACACGCCACAGGGTTTGAAGCTGTGTGAATTCCCACTACCCCACTACCCCATCGCCCCTCCTCTTCCATATACACCAGTGCCTCTACCATGAAATCCAGGGGCTGTGCAAACTCTCCCCCTTCCCAATCTACTTTATTCCCAGTCCTCCATAGAGATAGATGCTTTAATCCTCATCCTTCCTGGCACTGTGCTGGGGAAGGATGTGGGGGCCTGTCTGGGGGTCAGGGAAGGGAAGGAGAGGGTGTAAAGAATGCCAGTGGGGTGGGGGATCAAGTGGTCAGATCCTTTTTACTCCAGCTGTGAAAAATATGCGGGCTTTAATTGGAGGAAGTATGTTGAGCAAACCTGGTAGGGACTGCAATTTTATTAAGATTTGCAAAAGGGCGTCTCAGCTCGAGGCCCACTCTGGGACTAGCATGAATACTAACATGTCAATTGTTTTGTGGAGATAAGAGTGAACGTTTCCCAGGGCTGGATGGCACTGTATTTAGTCTGTATGGAAATGGCAATTTACATATTTAAAGCAGCGACCTCGTAGCACCATCCCTAATTGAATTAATTGCCCCGGAACATCTAATTTCCTTACTGGTCAGAGAGAGGTTTAATTGTTATAAAAACCTGGCTCCCCTATTAGAAACGGGGTTAGCAATTTCACGGGTTATATATTTTAGAGAACCTCATTAAGTGCTTTTTAAAATGAAATTCCAGTTCCAGGCGAACCCTGACTATCAAATGAGTGGAGATGACACCCAGCATATCCAGCAATTCTATGATCTCCTGACTGGCTCCATGGAGATCATCCGGGGCTGGGCAGAGAAGATCCCTGGCTTCGCAGACCTGCCCAAAGCCGACCAAGACCTGCTTTTTGAATCAGCTTTCTTAGAACTGTTTGTCCTTCGATTAGCATACAGGTAATAAGGGAGGGAGGGAGACAATCCAGGGAGGCTGTGAGAGAAATCAAGAAAGGAAAAGAAAGGGAGGAAGGGAAACCAGAGGGTGGGGTAGAGAAAAAGACAGAATAGGAAATGGAAGTCGGAGAAAGGAAGAAAAAGAAAGAAAACAAAAAAAGACGAGAAGAAGCGAGCCCAGAAGCCTTGGATGAATGGAATGGAGGTGGGATAGGGGGCGTTCTTGATTGTTATGAAATTAAACCCTTTCAAGGTCCACTGGTCTACATTTTATTAACTCTTCAGTAATTAGGTGACTCTTAAATCCCTCATTTATTGCTCTTCAAGTAATTAGTTGTTTAGCTTTTCTCTCTCTCTTTTTCTCCCCTCTCTCTCTTTGGTATTAATTGCAGGTCCAACCCAGTGGAGGGTAAACTCATCTTTTGCAATGGGGTGGTCTTGCACAGGTTGCAATGCGTTCGTGGCTTTGGGGAATGGATTGATTCCATTGTTGAATTCTCCTCCAACTTGCAGAATATGAACATCGACATTTCTGCCTTCTCCTGCATTGCTGCCCTGGCTATGGTCACAGGTCAGTACTGCAGGCGCAGGGCGCTTCCCCTCCAGAACTGCCTAGCAGGATTTGTCCTGAGTTTCCCTTGTCACAGATTCTCCTTGGTTTTGCCAACTAGCTAACTGTCTTGTACATTCTTCTTTTGTTTCTGATTATGTTTTCTGCAGAGAGACACGGGCTCAAGGAACCCAAGAGAGTGGAAGAACTGCAAAACAAGATTGTAAATTGTCTCAAAGACCACGTGACTTTCAACAATGGGGGGTTGAACCGCCCCAATTATTTGTCCAAACTGTTGGGGAAGCTCCCAGAACTTCGTACCCTTTGCACACAGGGGCTACAGCGCATTTTCTACCTGAAATTGGAAGACTTGGTGCCACCGCCAGCAATAATTGACAAACTTTTCCTGGACACTTTACCTTTCTAAGACCTCCTCCCAAGCACTTCAAAGGAACTGGAATGATAATGGAAACTGTCAAGAGGGGGCAAGTCACATGGGCAGAGATAGCCGTGTGAGCAGTCTCAGCTCAAGCTGCCCCCCATTTCTGTAACCCTCCTAGCCCCCTTGATCCCTAAAGAAAACAAACAAACAAACAAAAACTGTTGCTATTTCCTAACCTGCAGGCAGAACCTGAAAGGGCATTTTGGCTCCGGGGCATCCTGGATTTAGAACATGGACTACACACAATACAGTGGTATAAACTTTTTATTCTCAGTTTAAAAATCAGTTTGTTGTTCAGAAGAAAGATTGCTATAATGTATAATGGGAAATGTTTGGCCATGCTTGGTTGTTGCAGTTCAGACAAATGTAACACACACACACATACACACACACACACACACACAGAGACACATCTTAAGGGGACCCACAAGTATTGCCCTTTAACAAGACTTCAAAGTTTTCTGCTGTAAAGAAAGCTGTAATATATAGTAAAACTAAATGTTGCGTGGGTGGCATGAGTTGAAGAAGGCAAAGGCTTGTAAATTTACCCAATGCAGTTTGGCTTTTTAAATTATTTTGTGCCTATTTATGAATAAATATTACAAATTCTAAAAGATAAGTGTGTTTGCAAAAAAAAAGAAAATAAATACATAAAAAAGGGACAAGCATGTTGATTCTAGGTTGAAAATGTTATAGGCACTTGCTACTTCAGTAATGTCTATATTATATAAATAGTATTTCAGACACTATGTAGTCTGTTAGATTTTATAAAGATTGGTAGTTATCTGAGCTTAAACATTTTCTCAATTGTAAAATAGGTGGGCACAAGTATTACACATCAGAAAATCCTGACAAAAGGGACACATAGTGTTTGTAACACCGTCCAACATTCCTTGTTTGTAAGTGTTGTATGTACCGTTGATGTTGATAAAAAGAAAGTTTATATCTTGATTATTTTGTTGTCTAAAGCTAAACAAAACTTGCATGCAGCAGCTTTTGACTGTTTCCAGAGTGCTTATAATATACATAACTCCCTGGAAATAACTGAGCACTTTGAATTTTTTTTATGTCTAAAATTGTCAGTTAATTTATTATTTTGTTTGAGTAAGAATTTTAATATTGCCATATTCTGTAGTATTTTTCTTTGTATATTTCTAGTATGGCACATGATATGAGTCACTGCCTTTTTTTCTATGGTGTATGACAGTTAGAGATGCTGATTTTTTTTCTGATAAATTCTTTCTTTGAGAAAGACAATTTTAATGTTTACAACAATAAACCATGTAAATGAACAGAATTTTGTCTTCTTTTTGGGTCAGAAAAAATAATGACTAAACAGCAACATAACATACACAGTTGGAGATTAATTTGGGATAGGTCACTTATTCAATATCTGAATTTTAAACAGCCTAAATCTATTCTGGCAAAAGAAATCAGGTGAACCAGAATAATTATGCAGATAATTCAGTAAAATATTTTTTCTTAACCAGAATTTTCCAGTCTGGTGACCAATATTTATTAGGATCAATTTAGAATATCTCAATTCTTCTGTTAACTTTGCAAGTAAGTGTAGCTTTCAGGAGAGAAGTTCTGGAGACCCAAAAGCTTTTGAACTTGAGCAAGGTCAGAGTCTAGTCAAGTACTTGTCTTGCACAGTGATTAGGAAGTATCTTTTTAAGACTCAAGAAGTCAACATGGATTTGAGGAGTGTTGTATGTAATCTCCGATTTTCCAATTTCTCAATTTACAACTGTTGGGTCATGGAGAAAGGGCAAAGCAGTTCAGGCCCTTTGGGCCTTGGGTCACTTTGGCACAGAGCAGAACTCAGTAGAGGTAGTTCTTACAACTCTTTATTTTCCTCATTCAGTGGATGGTGATGAGGTGCAATTTGTAGTTTTAGAATAGAATTTCTCCCGTGTAAGTTTCTCAGGTACATGATAAAATATCTATGTGTTGGGTCTTGGGCCTAGTATAAGCAAGTTGTATCCGGGCCTCTAGGATTCCACCCAGCACCAACTTTCAAAAAAGAAAGGAAACTGATGCTGTAGAAGCTGCTTCCACTCAGAACCCTTGTCCTTGGGCAAATGAAGTCCAACGAGTTTCACCTTAGGGCAGCTGTGAATTCATAGAGAGCATAAGATGGGGACGGTCTCCTTCGCTGACCCTAGTGAATTACAGATGGCCTTTGGGTCACTGAAATTTATGAAGAGTGTTATTGTTTTTAAAATGCAGAGTTAGAACTGTAAATTGCCACGAGAGCGCTCAGGTTTTCTTTTGTTTGTTTCCCCTCTTTTTAAAAGACACGTTTTGCGGGTCAGCAAAAAGAGAGAATGCAGGTGTCGGTGGTAATATAAGGTTATTTTTACGAGATGCGTTTTTCTCCGGGTAACTGAGGGACAAATAGGGTGGCCACATAAGAGATTAAATAATAACGAAATGTTCAATTTCTTGACTTTCTTGAAAGGATGAGACTAGCCATATCATTTTGTTTTCACATCTTATGCCCAAGTAAAGCCACAAAGCAGTAAGTAAAGCGAAAGAGAAAAGCTCTTTAGAAATGCTGGGAATCTGCAGAGCCTTCAGCACTCATCTCCCTCCCAGGTGTCTGCAGCCCTGAGACAATGACATTCCGTCACACAATCCCCGAGAGTTGAACCCAGAAACGAACTCTGTGACTGGTTCTCCCTTAAGGAAGCGGCTGCGCAACACCCAAGGCCAAGGGGGTGTCGGGTAGTTCGCCTCCCGGGAATTTGGGGTCAAAGGAGGCAGAGATGACCCTCCACCATGTCCGCGTGCCGACTGCACCGGCTCGCGGAACATTCAGTTGTGATTCCTAAGTTGCAAATTGGCTAGTGCCTTTTCTGTTTCACAGAGTCGCTGTCAAACTCCCGGCCGGCCGCGCACCGAGTTGCTCGGGTGAAGAGCGTCGCATGCATTGCCCCTGCATCTTTCCAGATGCAGCTGAGGACTTTTCTTGTCCTAATGTTTCTAGGAGTAAAGTGAGGAAAAACAGCAGACACGCTGCATTGCCAAAAGCCAGACGTTGCATTACCTTCTTCAGAAAGAGATTAAACTTTGTAATGAGGGCTTCATACCGCCCTCGTATTCCCGCGTCCTCTTAAGCATTTCAGTTATTGTGTATCGTTCCAGCAATGGAAAATATATGATCATTGTTCCGAAGACATGACCATACAGTTCTCAGCTCTGAGGGAAGGTCTAATTTTAAGTCTTTGCTATCTAGCCCCATTTTGAGTTTATGGAAAGATGGCCTTAATTCAAAGCTCGAGTGAGCAGTGAGCAGCGCTGTCGCCTGCTCCTTCCTGAGGTCTGCCTTCTGCGGTCCAGGCGACCGCCACAATTTCTTTCGGTGCCCTGCTGGCCTTCCGCTGTGGATGGGTGGATGTGTGTGTGTGTGTGTGTGTGAGAGAGAGAGAGAGTATTTGGGGTACTGATTCTCACAAGAGAGATATGTAAGGCCCAGGGAGCCGATGGCGCCCTGCAGTGACAGCGGCACCCAACGACCTTGTGTATTTCTTTCTGGCACTGGACTCCATTCCTAGATAGTTTAGGTGGCTCCTCCCCTAAAAAACACCGGTCATAAGTCTTACGGGCCACTGGTTCTCCGCATGCAAGGAGCACAACAAGGAGATATAGATATTCTTGCAAACTTAAGAATGTCATTTGAAGGTTCAATTTCACTTTGTTTGGAGAATCTCTTGGCTTTCTCGGTGTCAGTGCGTCACCGAGAATATCAAATTATCTAATTGTATTTTAAACCTAGGCGTCGGCATTGCAGAAATGTTTCCAAGATACAAACAGATCTGTGAGGGAAAAGTTTAATTTCATTGCAATATTTTGATCACAGAGTTTTCCAGTACAGGATACAATTCCATCTCGCCAGGTCCTATACAGGGGAGTGACACCAGAGCACTTCTAGGCATCGCGCGTGTTGCGCGTCTTCGAGCCACCAGTTCCCCGCCTCGCGTCGCACGCTCGTCCGTTTCCTTTTGTATCCGCCGCGCGGCAGCGCCGAGGTGCCGAGAGTAAAGGCTGGGGGGCTCCCTGCCTGGGCCTCGCCTCTCTCTGTGGAAGACGCGCTTGTCTCAAGCCCCGATGCTCTCAAATCCAGGTCAAAAATGGAGACCGTTTCCCTCAAGGTGGAAGGGGAAAGGAGAGTATCTATTCTTGGAGATTTTAAAACTTTTTCTCAGTATTATTTTCACTATTGAATAGAGGTCTGGAAGTGAGTTTCTCATATATTCTTCTCCAAAGGAGGTTGTAAGGTCCCCTCTCCATTTGTCCCCGCTGTCAGAATAGGAATGCTTGCATAGTGGCCGCACCCCGGAATTTCTCAGGATTCCAAGCTTCCCAGGCAACTATGGGCTGGGACTGACTCAATTTTGGAGTCTCATGGAGGAGGAAGAGGGTTTGGGGTCTCAGCCGACGCCCAGTTAACCCTTCTTCCCCATAGGGCTCAGCCACAACTTAAAAAAAAAAGCGCACCCAATTCCAAGTCTTCGGGAAAGGTTCTGCTTAGATCGGTGCATCCGACAGAACTCGAACCCGAGCAATCACGTTTCGCACCCCTGCATTTATTGTGTTCAGTCGATACTGGCTGACTGCTCGTAAAGCAAGATATGAATTCCAAACAGGTCATCACTTTTTAGTAATTCGTTTTTAATAATAAAATGAACATATGGAAATCCCCATTTTACTTTTAAATTTTGCTAGAAACCAAAATATTGCACATAACTATTTAGGATGGCAAGACTGTGATTTAAAGTCATTTTCCTTTAGTATGTTCCCCGAGACCATTAGGAGCGACAGCTGGGGCCGCAAGAAAGATCTTTCCTCCGACTTTGACTTTGCCTTTCCTTAGGAAAAGTCCAGCTTCCGTCGGAGGGCGCCTGGTGGGGCGGTCCTGACGCGGGAAAGCAGGGCCCCACCCCACGCTGGGGGCGCTCGAAGAGAGCGGCAATTTTGTTCCCTAGCCGCGAAGTGCGCTCTGGGCCCTGCAGACAGTGGCGGGAGAATTCCAGAAAGCAGGGTTCTTGCCGCGTACTCCCCACCCCCACCCCCACGCCTTCTTATTAGTCACCCCCCAACCCCTCCTCCCAGCATAGTCTTATTTCGAGGCTTCGGAATTACTGGAGAGGACTTGTGTCCGCGATCCGCCCTGCGGCGAAAATGGAGACACAAGCCCTCCTGCTCTGCCCACTGCGTTTTGGAGACGTAGTTTGACTTTGCGGCTTGCAGTCGTAGACTTTGCGGAGAGAGCCTTGGAGCAATTAGGACGCATTCACTTGGGTGAACTTTGTTTCCTCGGTGTCCCTCCCTTTCCTCCCCAGCTGCTCCCTGCGTCTTCCTCAGCTGTTCTACACCCCCCCGCCCCCCACCCTCAGGGCGAAGGCTGCAACAGGCTGCCGTCGCCTCTAGGTCGCGTCTGTTGCGCTAGGGCACGAGCACAGGAGGCGGAGCGCGTCTCCTGCTTCTCCCTGCACCCAACGATTTCCGGTCAGTCTCTGGTCTCTTGGAACGCTGAGCTGGACTGGGGCGACCTCCCACGCGACACTGGGGAAAACTCTTTTTCTAGTGGTGAGGGCGCACAAAAGGGCGGGGCAGAGGCGCGTCCGCACCTCGTGGAGGTCTAGGAGAGGGGCCCAGACGCCCATGCCACAACCATGCTCCACACGTGTGCTCACGACCCAAAGCTCTGAAGATAGATTGTGCGTTCCCGCCCTGCTTTCAGGTCTCCTCGCAACGCATGTAATGAGCCCTAGGCCTGCGAGCGCTGGAGCGAGCGTCTAGTCAAGTGGCCAGATCAGGGCTGCGCCTGTAGGGGCCTTGGGGCCGCCTGTACGCTTATCTTCCCGCGGCTGGGAGCGCTCCTTCTTCTCTACAAGATGCTGACTGCGGGCCGCTCGCTGCCCTCTTCTCGGCTTAGCTGAACCCTGTCGCGCCGAGTTTAACTAGACACAGCGCCGAGCCGGCACCTGGATCCTAGCAGAGCTCAACTTCAACGCTTTTCTCCTCATTTCTTCTTCCCACACTTAATCTTTCTCACTCCCATTTTTTCTTATTTCTATCTCAACCTGTGTTTAGATAAACTAGGATTTCCAGGACATGTGTCACCCGTTCTAGCAGATACAATGCCCAAGTTTCTGCTAGAGACGTCCCTGGTACAGTAGAGGGCGGCTGCTGCGAGTGTGAGAAGTCTTTCATCGGGTACTAGAGGGACTTCCAGAGGGATTGAGTCTACCACAATTTCTTGGCTCTGGAAGCTTGGACAAGAGGATTGTTTTGACAGACTCAAATTAAATTGGGATTTCGAGAAGGGTAAGGACAGAGAGAGGACTCCTCATCAATAAGCTGCAAATAGGCCAGTGTTTTTCAAACTGAGGGTCCTGACCCATTAGTGGTTTTCAAAGATATTATATTGGGTTGCCATCAGAATTTTCTTCTAAAGAAATGAAAGAATAATAGAATAGAAATTATGAGGGCTTTGCAGGATAGCAAAAATATAAGACGTCTAAGCATTGTTTGCTGCAATTTTTCTTGGGTGACACTATGAAATATATTTATGGGGGGGTCTCAGTTAAAAAGGTTGATAGTGTCACTACTGAGGACCAATTGTACATGAAGTGAGAGAAAGGGCTGCCTTTATTGAGAGATACTGATAAGGGAATCTCAGCACTGTGGTTTTCTTTTCTTTTCTTTTTCTTTCTTTCTTTTCTTTTCTTTTCTTTTTTTTTTTTTTTTGAGATTGAGATGGAGTCCTCGCTCTGTCGCCCAGGCTGGAGTGCAGTGGTGTGTTCTCAGCTCACTGCAGCCTCTGTCTCCCTGACAGGTGCGGGCACCCCACCCAGCTTTTTTTTTTTTCTTTTTTGTGTGTTTCTAGTAGAGATGGGGTTTCACAGTGTTGGCCAGGCTGGTCTCAAACCCCTGACCTCAGGTGATCCACCTGCCTTGGCCTCCCAAAGTGCTGGGATTACAGGTGTGAGCCACCATGCCTGGCCTACTACTGTGGTTTTCTGGCCAGTCCTCTTTCTTCACTCTGGTTTGTTCGTTTTTGGTCACCACTCCAATGGACTTCTGTATCTCTTTATCCTCTGGCCTGTTATCTGCTTGAAGCCAGGTGGGTGTCATAAGGAAGGGCCAGGGGGACAAGCACATAAGCACATGTAGCCACCCCCTTTTCATCTTCCTCAGCAACCTGGTACCTGGGAAGAGAGTGAACAGCAAAAAAGGCATAGAGGAAAGCTAGAGAAAAGGGATGGTAGTGAATGTCCCATTGTCCATGTCACAGGCCTTCTCATTTATATGCTATTGCCAAACAAGAAGGAGGAAGCAAAAGCTTTTGGGGGAAATGGGTAGAGATAGGGATGGATAAAGATAATGAACCATACTGTGAATGATCAGGTGAGCAGGGACTGATAAGTTGGAAGAGGAGGAGGCAATTTAGAGGATTTATTTAATCAGAGTCCTAGAGTTGAAGGCAGAGATGAGAAGGAGAGGACTAAAATGGCCAGGGTGCCAACAATAATGTGAATGAGTTTAAAGTAAGAAGAGATCTATGGAAGTGAATAAAAAGGGCACATGGAGGATGCTGGGTGCTGGGCAGGCAGGTAGGTATAAGGTGAAAGTTGGATATAGAGGCCATAGCAAGACTATGTTAGGAGAGTGTGGCTCTAAGTATGGGAAGCTCTGGGCTAATGAGGACCACACAGATGTTTCAAGGTGTCATAAAGGAGTCAAAAGGAACAAAATCATTGGCATGGAAACTTGCATTTCCTATAATTCCATTCTAGTCAGAGAGCTTGTTTCCTAAGAGGTGCTGCAATCTTTAGGCAGGGGTGATGTGGACTCCTTCAAAGATTTGGGTCATTGTGAAGGGCAGAAGCAGGTGGCAGACGGAGGACACATTCCATGGTTTCTGACATTCCTCCATTACAATAACTCTGTCTACTACATGTTGCAATTCCAGATATCATATCATATAATCATCTCAACTCCAAATATGACGTTGGCACTGTTATTTCCATTTTACAAATGAAGAGATGAGGTTGAGAGGTATCGTTTATTATCTTGGCCTATAAGTACATGGAAGAGTTGGAATTCGAACTGAGAGCCAGGATATGAACTTACAAGTGCCTTGCTTTAGCACTGCCTGTCCCAGAAGGATTGTACCTTTCTGCTTCTCCAGAAACTAACTAAAGATTTTCTCACCTGCTGAGAGTTGAGGATGTTGCTTCAGGCATGTTCAGACTTCTGGAGGGGAGCATTGACCTGAAACCACAGTGGGGTAAGTGATAATAGCATAATCTTCTTCTCGCTGAAATTTTAAAGAAGGGATTATTTTCATTGCTTTTCGTAGTTTATGGGTGAAGGAGTTCTGAGTTGCTTGCTTTGCTGCCCAAGAAAAGAGTGGGAATGATTGCTGCGTGTGTTTATGCCATTGAGAAAGTCATATTAAAAGTAGTAAAAAAGAAAACTGTTTTTCATCCTCAAGCTGTTTGAATTCCCTTATATTAATCATGTGAGTTTTCAGCAAGCTTCTAGGTTTCCTATCAGGAAAACCAAATTGCATATTAGTTAGTTCACAGTCCTGAGCAGGCCACTTTGTAAAAATGAAAAGCTGGCTATGCATGAACCTTTTATTCTTTCTTCTACTTCTTCTATATTTGTGGTAGACAGTGTTTAGCTGTTATTAACATTTTCTTAAGAGCTACTCTCACAGTCTAACAAATGGTATAAATAGATTTTGCTTAGACAGTCAAGCAGAGAGTAATATTTATTCAGAAGACTGTCTGCATCTAACTTGGTGTGGTCAAAGGGTGGCAAAAATAGTCTTATTATATTATAAAATTTATTAGAATATACATACTTGACAGACAAAACATAGTGGATTTAGATCAGCTGTTTGCTTATACAATAGATTTTGTTCGTCTTTTGACATTTAATTTAAGCTTCACTTATCTGAGGGCTGGAAGTAGGATAAGTATGTTCTGCATGTGTTATGCTTCTTGTTTTATAAGACTTACTTGTCTGCAGTTATCCGGAAATAATTCATAATCAGTGATTTAGGGACAAGGAAGCCTTGTGACATGTTCTCAAAGTGTCTTTCTGAAATGAAGTTCTGAAAAGTTGAATTATGGAGACCCTAACAGGGGTTTCTATTTTTGAGGAATGAAGATAGCTACATTTGCTTTCTTGGTCTTTTGACTAATTATCCTCCCTGCATACTGAATTGATACAGTTAAAAACAAGCTTCTAACAAATCCATAATGAATCTATTCGGTGCCAGGAGTCTGTGTTCTGTGTAATTGTCCTGCTCTCAGAAATGCTGGGCAGAATTCTCTACATGGGCCACATGTGTGGAAATGACATAGAAAACATTTGACACATCAGTGACTTATTTTTAATATATCTGAGAAAAATAAAGTCCGCTGCTGTAAAATCTGCACTTGTAGATGTGTGAGCCCTAAATAACCTTTAAAATTGGTCGTGGTGTGGTGGGAGATGTTGGTATTCATGAGTGTTTTGACATGTTTGACATTTTATGTATGGTGCACTGCTCTGTCTGTCTTGCATTTTTTCCCCAATAGTGCATATTTTCTTACTAAAATTCAGCTTTTGGTGTTTATATTTGGGGTTTCCAAGTCTGCTTATTGGATGAATGATTTGCTTGTTACTTATGCGAATAATGTTTTAATGAATTAGGTTACTATTGATTTTTACACTATAAGCATAAAAGAGGAATTCATAAAAAAGATAATTTTGATTTTAAAAGAAGCAATATATGATAAAATATATTCGATAAGTGCCACATATCTCCAACTTGCAGTGGTCCTCAGTTAGTAAATAAGGAAAAGCAATTCTATGGAATGATTATGCTCTCTGGAGCCAAGGAATTTGTGCACCTGAATCTTGGGTAGTGAATATAGATTTTAAAAATCTGTCTGAGCAGCATTTAAATTTGTCCTCCATTTATATTTGGAAGGGACAAAAGGGTCCCTAGTAAAGAATTGTCAATTGAACTGAAAATCTGGGTGGACGGTAAATATAATGTAAAAAATACATACCTAAGTATATGTAGAATCAGATGTCAATAGTGTTCACTGAATAGGATATATGTTTGATACTGTGGTCATCTCCTTTCGTATCATCTTCTATATTAATTCTCTAGGTAGAATTCAATAAGTGAGTGTAAAACTAATCCTTGGTGAAGCATTTTTCAAATTTATGACTACGATACTACTTTTTTTGAGTATTAGAAAAGGCAAAAATTTTGATTGAAAAGCTTTTACTATCACGTTTTTTCCTTTGTGATAAAACCGAATGCTATACAGTCTATTCTAATTTCTATCCTAACTTGACTAATGATAGATTTGGCTGAAAGTTTCATAATTCAGAATTAAGATGTTGCTAATTACCTTTTCCCTCTTTAAAGCCCATGTTACTAATAATGTGGCTTCCCTTTAAATGTTATTCTCTTTAAGACTGTAAGTGACTCTGAGGCTTTGACATTTTTTTGTCCCAGATATTTCTCCTGTTTTTAATCTCCACTTGTTGTCACATGCCAGGACAGCACTGTACCTTCAGGTGGGAGGACAGAGGGGCAACTTTCTTTGTCCAGGGTGTCAGGGCTCTTTTCCTCTGGAGCGGAAGTTTTATGTGCACTTTCCTTTGTACCCTTTCCCTGGAGACTAACACATCACCTCCATGACACATGTAGCAGTTGTGGCCTGGGGTTTGACCAGGATAGCATAAGTTTACTTTCAGTAAGCAGAAGTATTTAATTGCTTCTTACAATTCAAATGGTATCAAGAGACCAACTTGCATGCACTATCTAAGAGTACCTTCTCATGTTCTGTTCTTGACTAACAAAGCCTCAATGTCTCTCACATCCCTTTGAGGATCTTCTTGAGTAAAATTTCATTCATAAAACACAAAACAACATAAAACTTTAACATTGAAAGTGCAGTGCTGCTCTTTTAAAAATATTATTTTGATTTGTAGAGCAATGTGAATGATTATAGTCTGACACTAACAAGATTGTGAATCTCATTTTCAATGTTATGAGTTAGGAAAAATGCAAGGCTTTTCTTGAATGTGCAGTGTTTTGTATGCTCAACATTGCTTTCATCAAAATATGTACTGTTGATTCATTCATTACATTCCTTGTCTGTACTTAACTGAAAAGCAAGAAAAAGAAAATCAAGTGCTTGTCTTTCCTTGAGTTAATTTCCCTTAACATGTATTCAAAATAAGCATTCCAATGTAGCATCATGTAAAATAGTTATAGAATTTGATGATTATAGGAAAGTTTGGTGTGGGTGAGAAATGCATCATTCATTAGATTGCAAGTAGCAATGTATGAGAGAAAGGCAGGTACTATAAACAAGAAGCTATAAATAAGCACTTTTCCTCCTTTCTGTTACTTGAATACAAATACTTGCATTACGTGGACATATTCATAAATTTTGATGATAACTTAGTGAAACAGGACCATAAATATGGAAACTAGGCATATTATTAAATGTATATGATTTTACAATGAATGCTTATTATTTTTAAAAGTCTGTGTTCCTATGGCTTTTACTTAGAGAAATCAATCTTCTGGTACTATGAATAGCCTAATCATTTTTTTTCCTCTAGCTAATAACAGTAACTTCCAAAATTGAAGACTGAACCACAGCAGTCAAACTTATCAACCTTTTGATCAAAACCGGTGACTAAAAGGAATATGAAACCTGTGATACAGTTTCAGAAAACCTTATTTCAAATCTTATTCATATTAACATGGCCACTGTCACATGTGCTGAAAATTGGTTGAGAGACCGTAAATAAAATGAACTGTTATTCTGCAATAAGCTGACTTGTGTGGAGTGATTCAGTGGGGGTGCTGTTATAAGGTTTTTATTTAACCGTATTATTAATAACCCTTATAATGGGCAAAGATCATATTAATTACACTCATAAATGAAACTGAATCGAGATCTTGGTGGTGCTGGAGAAATACAGTGGCACAAAGAGAGGTCAGGCATACATGGAAAAAATAAAGCATTTCTCAGCTGAGAAAGACGAAAGCAAATATATCTAATACACATCTCAGTACAAATTTGAAATACAAAGTATGAGTTCAAGAGAAATATTTGTAAAATGATAATGCTTGAAATGAAGGCTAGAGAAAAAAATTACCTGGAAATATTTTGTATAAACTTATAGCAAAAAAAATCTTATATGCTTTTGAAGCTGCATGCCCAGAGACTTCTCACCAAGAGAAAAAGAGAGGTGATCATCTTTTTTCTGTATAAAGCATTGATGAGGCAGTACCAGAATCTTGCATGCATTTCTGAATGTCCCAGCACCAGAACGATGTTGACAAATTGGACAGATTTCAGAGAAGCACAACAAAAATGATTAAGGGGCTGGTGCAATTGACTTATGAGGATAGATTAAAAGAACCAATTATGTATTGCTCACCCAAACAAGACGGGCAGCAGAGTGGGGAGGAGAGACAAGAAAACCAGGTATGATCACTTGAAGAGTGTAAATACCAAGGTAGGAGATGAATTGTTTAGATTGGTCCAAAGTGGCAATAACTTTGAGGTACAGGGAAAGAAATAAGTAAAGAATAATTTGGTAGATTATGAAAACATAATTTGCAGTGATGTTACTTATAAAAAATAATGGAAGCAATTTTGAGGAATTGGTAAACTGCATTGGCTTATTATTATTCTGTTTTTCAAAATGCAAAAAGAAACTGCTTATTCACTACTGGGAAAACTTTCAGATGAGAAGGAGGAAAAGAAAGGAAAACCCAATAGTTTACTTCAATTTAGAATGTGAGGAGCTTCCTATGTAGTTTAAATTAAATATGACACATTCCAATAAAGGTCAGAGTGAATGTTAAATGAAGCTGTCCTAAAAATAGGACCATTCCTGCTTTCCCAGCTCTTCTTAGCATTACATGTACTCTCAACCATATATTCTATAGTAGGGTAATCTTAGCTTGGTCAGTGTAATAAGAGGATTCTAATGTTTTCTTTTAATAAAATATTCCTCTCATGAAGCAATTGTCCTCATAATGATGTTGATGGGACAATCTTCACTATCAAATTGATAAAAGAAGTGAGAAGTGTTCTTATTTGTCCTTGATTACTATTTTTCCTGTCTTGTCCTTCTGAAACATGGCTCAACTAGGAAGGAAAAAGAATGAATGAAATGAAGTGGCCACTTTAAGTTATATAAGCATAGAAGTGAGGGAAAGGATATTACAAACCATCCTATCTTAGAAGCCAAGCAAAGGAAAAGATTTCTTCTAGTGTCAAGGAGGAACATAAATGCCTTAAAAAACATTAATGGTAGAAAAAGAAAAAATGTAAGTGAACTGAAGGCCCATAAGGATCTCCTGCTTTCTCTGTCGTAGTAGGAGAGTGATTTTCCTGTGCTAGAAGATGCAGTATGTGAGGTAGAGAGATGCAGAAGGAGAATCTCATTAACATGAGCTCTCTCCACTTCTCCATGCAATTGGAAACTGCCTGCTGTCAGGCTGCTGAGAAGCCAACATATGCAGGCTTCCAGGGTGTGCATGCTGCAGAAGGCTGAGTGTAATTATTTCTGGATAGGATCCTGCGTATGATTCCATGATAGTACTGACTTATAGTCTGTCTTTATTTGAACTGATACTTCCTGTACTTATAATTTAAGCTTCTAACAGTGAGGTATCATTTTGGAGGTGCACATAGATATTTTCTCTTAAGTTAGGTAGTGAACGTTGAATTCTGTTGCATTTACTGTACTGATTGGAAGAAAAAAAGAAAAAAAATCCCAACGTTTGTTTTTATTTTTTTTAAAGGATTATTGTTGTTGTGTTAGCCAGTACATATGTGACGGTTTATGGTCAGTTATATCTAACTGGTTCTATTTGTACTATCTTTAAATTTCTATTAGGTGTATGTTATACCAAAACTTTCCACATAATTTTAGTTTCAAGTTGACAAAATGTTACATGGTACCTTTTTACTCTGCTGTAAGAGATCCCAAGTGTTTTTATTTATTATTATTATCTATTAAAAAATAATCAGTTTTAAAAACTGCATTGTCTTAGTAAAAGTCAATGAATGATGTTTACTAGACAGTTTTATTAAGTGGAGAAGATGCTGTAAGATTTCAGTATGTATTTTCTTCATTTTGTAAATGGTTATAATTTCTGTTTTTATTTTAGCAAACTCTTCAGCCCAGATATTTACTTTAATCATTTCTGTCTTAAAAAGTGATAGAGAAGAGATTACACAGGTAGACTATGCTGTAAGCAAACGTTTATATTTGTTAAACTGCTTTACTTGTGTTACTGTCTTAGTGATTCGATAGAAAAATGACCTTACTTTTGCACAAAAAATTAATTAAAGAAAGCTGCAATCATTGACTTTTTCTTATAAGACTAATTATAAACTTTTCTAACATGAAACGTTTCTGCTGTAACTATTTGCGAATTTAAAACTTCCAATGTGGAGAGAGGAGGGGGGTTGATTTTTGTTGCCAGTTTTTTAATTGAAAACATTATTATTATTATTATCATTGCACAATATTTATAATGCCTATTTTGTGAATTTTATTCATTTTGAAGCAGTTAACATTTGTTATCTTCTTAGAAAGATAAGCACTTGTTTGTTTCTTGAATTGTAAAATGATAAAGCTTGAAGTGATCTCACCAGGTTGACTAAGGCTATCTTTTTTCTCTTGCCCAATATTGTCCTGCTTCCCTTGGATGCCACAGACAATGTTCCATTTTAACTCCAACTAAACAAAGGGTAACCTGTCAAGGGATAGGAATTTGAAAAAATTTTTATGAACACTTTAATATTTAGATGCTAACTACTTTGAATATCCCATTAAAAGGAAGGAAAGATTTATCTTTTGATAAATTTCTGGGGCTCAGTGGAAATTCTTAGGCACTCCAGTGTTTTACCCTGTAGTGCATTAACACATTTATATTCCAGATAAACGTCTCAGAAATGACTGTTTTTAGGCCCACTTTAGGAAGGGCATATTTTGCATATAAAATATTATGATACAGTGACAGAATATTATAGCATTTAGTGAATGATTTAGTGAATACTCTCCCAAGTGTTTTTAGGATGCCAAGTGTAGCTAAATTACATTATGTACATTTGGCTTACTTATACAAAATGTATTTATTTATAGAAAAAGTAGTTTTTTGAGATGATTCTTTAACATATGTGAATAACTTCCATTGATTTTTTTCCAAGGAATAAGAAATATTTAAGTTGATATGAATGTGAGAGTTTTTGACAATGGTGAGCTTTGTTGCTTAACACTTTCTTGGTGGATTTATAAATAATGACATGTTCTAAGGATGCACACAATGCAGAAAAAATGCTTGAGGCAGTCAACATATATTATTATATATACAGATACTAAATTGCTCTGACACTAATTAGGGCATAAATAATGGTATACCTAACCAAAGACAAGCAAAACATTTGTTTCATAATTAAACTAAAACTTTATTTGCAGGTTCAGGGTTCATCTGCTTAAAACAGGCCAGGTCAGAGAGATAAAACATAAGCAAGTAGACAGAGCCACAGTGCCCAGCTTTGCATCATTCTGAGGACTTTGAACTCCCATTGAGGGTCCAGGGTCTTGAGGCATGTGGAAATAGGAATTGGCATGTTCAGTAGGGCGAACTCTTGTCTTTGAGCTTTTTATTTTCCATAAGTGTATACCAGACTCTGTTTACATATCTTCCTCCCTTTTGTCTTGATCAGTTTGGAGTTTTCAAGGGAAGGGTCAGCCTAGTTTGTGTTTATATTAGGAGCACTTTGGGAATTTAATTAGTCACCTTGCTGAAAATTACATATTTTATTTTAATTACAAAGAATGAAAGAAGTAGCCTCCAGTGGAATGGTAGCTTTAGAATCTTTTTGGAGTACTAGGGGAACAGTTCCAAAGATTTGGATATGAATGTGAAAGTTGACCAAATGCAAAATAGTAGTTACTGTATAACTCAATAATGCAATGCATCGTATCACCTATAAGATAGGTTGGGATTTTTGGCACTTTGTATGAGCATTGAAGTAAAACTAGGCATCATTGGTGATATGGTTTGGCTCCGTGTCCCAACCCAAATATTATGTTGAACCCAGTGTTGGAGGAGGGCCCTGGTGGGAGGTGATTGAATCATGGGGTTGGACTTCTCCCTTGCTGTTCTTATGATAGAATTCTCATGAGATCTGGTTGTTTGAAAGTGTGTTGTAGCACTTCCCTCTTCTCTCCCCCTTCCCCACTCCTCCCTGGGAAGAAGGTGCTTGCTTTAACTTCTCCCTTCTGCTATGATTTTAAGTTTCCTGGGGCCTCCCCAGCCATGCTTCCTGTACAGTCTGTGAAACTGTGAGTCATTTAAACCTATTTTCTTCATAAATTACCCAGTCTTAGATAGTGTGACAGTGGACTAATACAACTGGTAAATGACCAAACATCTATGTTTATTGGGCATTGCCACTTACTAACTGTTACCATGGGCAATTTTCCTATCCTATCTATGCTTCAGTTTCTTCATCAGTAAATGAAATAAAAATATGATCTTCTCTTAGGGTAATTGCGAGGTTTAAATGTAGAAAATGCTTAGAACAATGCCTGATTAGTGATTAATTCCTGGTAAGCTATTATTACTTTGATTATTGCAATCTTATTGGGCTCTGAGAATACAATTACTTTGTATTTCAATTCTGCTTTTCCCCCTTATTGATTCTCCCGTTGTACTTCTTGGTTTGTACTGCTATTCTATGTAAAGATCCTCTTTTGGATTCATTTATTTGATCAATTTTGATGGCAAATTCTCTATGTGTGAGAGGGTAGGGATACTGGGAAGACAAATAAAATCCATGGTCACTTATCTGAGCCATCTTACAACCTTGTAAGGGAGACATACATGAAAACAAACACTTTCAACACAATATGTAAAGAACTCTAATGGGGGCCTATGAGCCATATGTTGGATGTAGTAAAGGTAGGAGTTTGCTTCTTAGATAAGAAGGAAATGAAAAATTGAAGGCATAAAGATATGAGATCTGGGATTTTTCTGGGAAATACTGGTGTATATAAAACTCAAGAGGTGTTAATGGAAAATGAAGTTGGACTGATATAAAGAACCTAGATTCTGCAAGCCATTTGTTGCAGATTAAATGTGCTCCCCAAAAGTCTATGTGTCGGAAACTGAATTCAATGCAGCAGTGTTGAGAGAAGGGACATTTAAGGGTTGATTAGACCATGAGAATTCTGCCTTCATGAAGGGATTAATGCTGTTATCTGAGGAGTAAATTATTTAACTTGGAAGTGAGTTCCTGATAAAAAGGATGAGTTTGGCTCCATTTTCTCTCTCTGCCTCTCTTGACAGGTTACCATGTAATGCCTTCCATTACAGGATGACTCTTGCCAGTGCCATTCCCTTGGACTTCCTAACCTCCAGAACCATGAGCCAAAATAAACTTCTATTCTTCATAAATAACCCAGATTCTGGTATAGCAGCAGAAAATAAACTAAGACACCATATAAAGGAGTTTATTTTATATTTTGACAGATAGGCAATAGGAAGCAATTTATGAACCTTGAATTGGGAAATAAAACTGATTATATTTTTATAAAAATCACTCTGGCTACACAGGTTTGAGCATTAGGATGGTGGCAATAGATGCTGTGGAGACAGACTAATTATTAGAAACTCTAAATACCTCATCTTGGTTTTTTTCATCTATGTGCTACACCAGGCAATGTAAGAACTTCAAGAACCTAAGAACTTTTCCTTACTCCTGTTACAATACATACAATATATACTTTTCTCCTAATATATGAATTAATTTTTAATTAAAGCAGTATATTTATATGATTTAAATAAATTAAATCATTAGTAAACGCTTATAAGTACAGGAGTCTCTTGACATTACCTCTCCCCATTTCCTAGTCTCTCTTCCTAGAAGGAATCACTTTCAGTGGTTTTTCTAAACATATTGATTACATTTTTATTTCTTGATTTCTCAATTTTGGACATTATTTATTTACTTCTCATTATGAAAGTTGAGAAATAGGCTGTCTTCCAAGCTATTTCTACTGTCCCCTCCTTCTTTTCATTTCAATTTCCTCCATCCTTTCAAGGTAGCTCACCTTCCCCTCCCCTCCCCTTCCTCCCCTCCCCTCCCCTCCTCTCCTCTCCTCTCTTCTCCTCTCTTCTCCTCTCTTCTCTCCTCTTCTCTCCTCTCCTCTCCTCTCCTCTCCTCTCCTCTCCTCTCCTCTCCTCTTCTCTTCTCTTCTCTTCTCTTCTCTTCCCTTCCCTTCTCTTCTCCTCTTCCCTTCTCCCTCTCCCTCTCCTCTCCTTTTTTTCTTTTCTTTTCAGCATGATTTTGCTTTGCCACCCAGGCTAGAGTACAGTACTTCCATCATAGCTCACTGCAGGCTTGAACTTCTGGGCTCAAGTAATCCTTCTGCCCCAGCTTCCCAAGCAGCTGGGACTACAGTCGTGTGCCACTGTGCCAGGTACAGCTGCACCATTTTGATTTCTCACCTATAGTGTACAAGGTTTCAATTTCTCCACATCCTTGCCAACATTTCTCTTGTTTATATTTGATAATAGCTATCCTAATAGGTGTGAGGCTGTTGGATTTCATTGTGGTTTTCATTTACATTTCTCTGATGATTAATACCTTGAATATCTTTTCTGTAGGCCATTTGTATGTCTTTGGAATGTCTATTCAAGTCTTCAGCTCATTTTTAATTGGGTTGTCAGTCTTTTTTTTTTCTTTTGCTATTGCATTGTAAGAGTTCCTTATATATTTTGGAAATTAACCCTGTATCAGGTATATGAGGTATATGTTTGCAAATACTTTCCCTTGTTCTGTGGGTTGCCTTTTCACTCTGTTGGTTTTTTGCTTTGCTGTATAGAAGCTTTTTAGTTTGATTTAGTCCCATTTGTCTATCTTCACTTTTGTTGCCTGAGGTTTTGGGGTCATATCCATGAAAAAATTGCCAAGATCAGTATCATGAAGCTTTTCCTCTAAATTTTTTCCTAGAAGTTTTATACTTTCAGGTCTTATGTTGAAATATTTAATCCATTTATAGTGATTTTTGTGTACAGTGTAAGATAAGGGTCCAATTTTTGCATGTGGAGATCTAGTTTTCCTAACACCATTTGTTGAAGAGACTGTCCTTTTACTACTGAGTATTCTTGGTGCCCTTGTGGAAGATGAGTTGTATATATGTATGTGTAGATTTATTTCTGGGATCCCTATTCTGTTCCATTGGTCTGTATGTCTGTCTTTATGCCAGTACTATGCTACTTTTGTTTATTTTTTATTTTTGAGATGGAGTCTTACTCTGCTGCCCAGGTTGGAGTTCAGTGATGCAATCTCGGCTCACTGCAACCTCAGCCTCCCGGGTTCAAGCGATTCTCATGCCTCAGCTTCCTGAGTAGCTGGGACTGCAGGCATGCATCACCACACCCAGCTAATTTTTGTATTTTTAGTAGAGATGGGGTTTCCCCATGTTGGCCAGGATGCTCTCAAACTTCTGACCTCCTCAGGTGATTTGCTCGCTTTGGCCTCTCAAAGTGCTGGGATTACAGTTGTGATCCACTGTGCCTGGCCAAGCCACCATCTCTGGCCATATACTACTTTAATTACTATAACTTCACAATATGTTTTGAAATCAGGAATTGTGATGTCTCCAGCTTTCTCTTCTCTTCTCCTCTTTCTCTCCTTTCTCAAAAAAATTTTTTTTTGGCTATTCAAGGCCTTTTGTGGTTCCATGTGAATTTTAGAATGTGTGTTATTTTTTGTTGTTTATTTATTTATTTTTTGAGATGGAGTCTGGCTCTGTCGCCCCGGCTGGAGTGAAATGGTGCAATCTCGGCTCACTGCAACCTCCAGCTCCCGAGTTCAAGCAATTTCTCCTGCCTCAGCCTCCCAAGTAGCTGGGATTACAGGCGCCTGCCACCATGCCTGGCCTAGACTTATGTTTTATATTTCTGTAAGAAATGGTATTGGGATTTTAATAGGGATTGCATTGAATCTATAGATAGCTTTGATACTCATCCCTTATTTTAATCCTGTGGCTTCTGAATATTTTCTACCACTGTAATCTATATTTTAAAAATGATGATCATCCTAAGAATTGGTTTTATAATCATGCAACAAGCAGCATTTTATTTCTGAGTGTTTTATAATGTATTAATTGAAAACCTATTTGTCACTTACTATTTTCTAACATGTTTTGCCTTTCTTGAAGAATGCATCAAGTACAGAGTATAAAGAAAATCTATCAAGATTGGTTCAACAGCCTTTGGCTATGAAAGTCTCAAGGAATGACTAATAATCAGTTTTGATTAGTGAGAAGAGAGAAGCAGGAATAAATCAGCTCCACACATGTGACTCAACCTAGGATCAAGAGTTCCAGTTTTTCCCATGTGAATGACTTAGTTTTTTTTTAAATGCTATTGTGGAAGAATAAATAGTGTATGAAGACTTTAAATTTTTAAATCCTTGAAAACTTTATAAAATGAGAAAAGTTTGCTCATATAATGAGGAATTATATTGAAACTAAAAATATGTACTGCTGTAAAGAATGCAAACTTGTTCAATAATGGTTCATGTAAAAAAAAACAAAAAACAAAAAAACAAACAACCTGTGCATAACTGACCTGTGTTGAGAAGACAAGGGTTTTAAAGGATTTTGATATTCTTTTCTGTCATTACAAATTGGTAGCTGATAACATTTGGTTCTTTGAAAATATCCTTATGTTGCCTCGTTTCTTTCTTTCTTTCTTTCTTTTACTTTAAGTTCTGGGATACATGTGCAGAGCGTGCAGGGTGCAGGTTTGTTACATAGGTATACATGTGCCGTGGTGGTTTGCTGCACCTATCAACCTGTCATCTAGGTTTTAAGCCCTGCATGAATTAGGTATTTGCCCTAATGCTCTCCCTCCCCTTGTCCCCCACCCCCCGACAGGCCCTAGTATGTGATGTTCCCCTCCCTGTGTCAATGTGTTGTCATTGTTTAACTTCCACTTATGAGTGAGAACATGTGGTGTTTGCTTTTCTTTTCCTGTGTTAATTTGCTGAGAATGATGGCTTCCAGCTTCATCCATGTCCCTGCAAAGGACATGAACTCATCCTTTTTTATGGTTGCATAGTATTCCATGGTGTATTTGTGCCACATTTTCTTTATCCAGTCTATCATTGATGGACATTTGGGTTGGTTCCAAGTCTTTGCTATTGTAAATAGTGCTGCAATAAACGTATGTGTGCATGTGTCTTTATAGTAGAATGATTTATAATCCTTTGGGTATATACCCAGTAATGGGATTGCAGGGTTAAATGGTATTTCTGGCTCTGGAAACTTGAAGAATCGCCACACTGTCTTCCAAAATGTTGAACTAATTTATACTCCCACCAACAGTGTAAAAGCGTTCCTATTTCTCCACAGCCTCGCCAGCATTTATTGTTTCCTGACTTTAATAATTGCCATTCTAACTAGTATGAGATAGTATCTCATTGTCATTTTGATTTGCATTTCTCTAATGACCAGTGATGATGAGCTTTTTTTCATATGTTTGTTGGCCACAGAAATGTCTTTTTTTGAGAAGTTTCTGTTCATATCCTTCATCTACTTTTTGATGTGGTTGTTTGTTTTTTTTCTTGTAAATTTGTTTAAGTTCCTTGTAGATTCTAAGTATTAGATCTTTGTCAGATGGGTAGATTGCAAAAATTTTCTCCCTGGTTTCTTTATGAAGAGGTCCATTTGGGCTTCTCTGTATCACCTGTTAGTTTCAGATTCTTAAGTTCAGACTCAGATTCGTTATGTATTTTGCTGCTGGCAAATCTTTTGCAAAAGATAACCTGGAGCCACAAAGTGTTACTGTGTTCCAATTTTATTTTATTTTATTTTATTTTATTTTATTTTATTTTATTTTATTTTTGAGACAGAGTCTTGCTCTGTCTCCCAGGCTGGAGTGCCTTAGTGTGACCTGCAACTTCCGCCTCCCGAGTTCAAGCAATTCTTGTGCCTCAGACTCCCGAGTAGCTGGGACTACAGGTGCGTGCCACCACTCCCGGCCAATTTTTTGTATTTTTAGTAGAGACACGGTTTCATCGTGTTAGCCAGGATGGTCTCGATCTCCTGACCTCGTGATCCACCTGCCTCGGCCTCCCAAAGTGCTGGGATTACAGGCGTGAGCCACTGTGCCCGGTATGTGTTCTGTTTTAAAGGCAGCTTTTGTGTGTCTGGGTCACATTTCAGAGCATCAGATTGCATGGTCCACTTGAAGGCTATGAATTTTTCTGTAGGCAGATGTTTGTAGAATGTGACTTTATTATTATTATTATTTTTGCATGTCATAATTGTTCATTTGAAGTTTCTGTAAAGGTAAACCAAAAAATCAGGGGTAAGGGATTTTGAAAGAGAAACGTCAGTGTTATTCCAAAAACTATTTTATTTATACATCAAAAAGTGTCCATTTCATGCTATTTTTTTTCAAGCAGCGTAATGTAAATGCTCAATCTTTCTTAGAGAAAAGAAAAACACAAATGCTATATGAAAATATTCATATATTTAAACTATGATCTTTTATGTAAGAGGAAGAGCAAATGAATGCTGGCACATATGAAAATCTAGCTCATATTAAAAATAAGCATTTGTTTTTCAAAGAATTAGACAATGCAATAGATTGAACAAAAGTGAAGATTTCATCCTTTAAAACAAGGATAGGTAAATTGCTATTGCATGAAGGTGTGTAAAGCACTCAACTATGGCTAGAAAAAAGCAAATATGTCCATGAAAATCATGCCATTTATATTTCATTGAAATTTTATGGTAAAAAACAAATGTAATGTCTATTGTTTAAAAATCATGTATTTGTAGCTGCCCATGTATCTATTTCAAGGTTATACGTAACTTACTAAAGAAAGAATCAATCTCTAATCAAAATAAATTATAATTCAAGGACGAGATAATATCATGTTTAGAACAATCAAAAATCAGAGAAAGGAGCCATCACTGAAGCCCTTGTAGAGTAAGCTGCATTCTTTCTTCTTGATCCCTACCAGACAAAAAAATTACTACCTCAAATTCCTTTGTAAAATAATAGGCTAGCTAGAGACTTAAAGTTTTTCTTTTTGATCCAATTCAAGGAATTCCTGGTTAGCCAATTTATAAAACACATCCCACTTGGAGTCTGAGAGACATTGTGAGGTAGAAAATGGCACAAAATGGGTATGGAGACAGAAGCAGGAGTCAAATCACACAAGATCCTGTAAATATTGTTAACGTTATCTGGAGGGCCATGGGTGGTCACTGACAATGAAAACCGAGTCATTTTCATTCTTATTTGAAGATGTTGATTTACATAAATATGATTTTTTTCTGTGGTGAAATATGCCTAAAGGGGAAATTCATATAGAAAATAAGGTATTAGTGAATTAATTAAACAAATAACGTATAGATTTCTTCTGTATACCAGATACCGGGAGACACAAACATGAAAGACATAGACTCTTAGTCTAATGAAGCATTCAGAAAAAATCAACAGAGACACTACATCATGAGCAGTGCCTGCAAGGAAGTATGCACAGGGGAGAGGCATATTTATTTCACACTGTTGTAAAATGAAAAAATCTGGATATATAATTTTTTTCCAGACAAATGAAGCTTATAGAAGTTATTTAAAAATACTTCTAATCTTTGCATATGTGTGTACGAAATCTTCACAAGGTGTACAACCCTTTTCCAACTTGCAAACAACATTGCATACATGGCCTTGTTACTTTCATTGTCTTGAGTTGGCCTAAAACATATGTCAGAACTTAATATAATTTGATGTGTAGAATAACTATATTGAAAAATCACTCCACAAAAGAAATTACTGAGACAAATATGAATTTATTATTTTGTACAATCAACTCTGCTACTCAAGACTTTAGTGTTATTTCATTTTACAATGTATTGAGCACCTAGTATGTGCCAGGCAATATGCTAGAGCAGGAATTAAAATGAAAAAGATAGACATAGTGCTTGCTCATCTAGTGGGAAATATAGACAACTAAACAGGGAATCCACACTGTTGTGTTTTTTTTTAGTTGTTGAATTTTTTTTTCTCACCAGTAGCTGTCACTTCTCAGTAGTGAGTCTTTAAAAAATTTGATTTTAGTTGATAGTAGTTACAGATGAGAATCATTGTTTTTCCTTGTTCAGGAGATACTTGCTTTGTTTACTATTCCTAGAAAGATAATATCATAAGTATGAAATTAGTTTACATGTATAACGTCTTATTATTCAGTTGGCTTGTTTAAACCTTTTGAGAACAGGCCAGTTATTAATCAATGAGTAATTATTTGCAACTATCATTGATGGAGTGCTTACGATGAATCCTTTATGTGCATTTACTCATTTAATCATCAGAACAATTCTGTAAAGAGGGTATGTTTATATTCTTCATTTTAGAGGTGAGGAAACTAAAGCACTGTGAGAGTAAGTAATTTGCCCCAAATCACCCAGCCAACAAGTGTTGAAGCCAGGATTTGACACTGACACTTGGTAGTTAGGGACCAGAGCTATTGCTCCCTTTTTTAGTTTGTTTGTTTTTAAAAATTAATTAATTAAAAAAGCAGGATCTTGCTCTGTCACTCAGGCTAGAGTGCAGTGGCATGATCTCGTTTCCCTATAGCCTTGACCTCCCAGGCTCAAGCCATCCTCCCCGCTCAGCCTCCTGAATAGCTGAGAATACAGATGTGTGCCACTATGCCTGTCTTATTTTTAAACATTTTATTTTTTATTTTTTGAAGAGATAAGGTCTTCCTTTGTTGTCCAGACTGGCCTCGAACTCCCAGCTCAAGTGATCCTCCCACCTCAGCCTCTGAAAGTGCTGGGATTACAGGTGTGAGCCTCTGAAAGTACTGTGATTACTTATAGTAGATGTGCTGCCTAATTTTGATCAAATATTTACTATGATATTACAGTGGTATTTATCAGAGCTGGTTTTGGGATTCAATGCACAGTGTGTGTCTTAGTCTGTTAGAACATAATACCTTAGGCTGGGTAACCCATAAACGATAGGGATTTATTGCTTACAGTTCTGGAGGCAGGAAATTCCAGGATCAAGGTCAATATTTGGTGAGGGCTTACTCTCTTGCTTCATAGATAACACTATCTTGCTGTGTCCTCACACAGCAAAAGGGGCAAACAAGCTTTCTCAACTCTCTTGTATAAGGGCACAAATCCCATTCATGACCTAATCACCTCCTAAAGGCCCCACTTCTTAATACAATTGCATTGGGGATTAAGTTTTAATATGTGAATTTTAGGGGTATGCAAACATTCAGACCATATAAGTAGGATTTAATATGATGTTAAGAAGTGAGAGGCATAACACAAAATAAAACATGGACTAAAGAAAAGCGTGTGTTTATAGGAGCATGTGAGAACTTTGCATCATAAGTGAAGAAGAGATGAATTGTTACTGCTCAGAAATGTTTGAAGTTAACCCTGGACAGCCATGTTGGAAGGAAGCCTAAGTTAGTCATGCAGAAAGATGTGTGGAGAGAGAGAGAGATGCAGACAAGCCCCCAGTTGATTAGTGACCCCAGCACAAATGCCAGGCATGTGAGTGAAGAAACTCATTGTAAACATTCCAGCCCCAGCAGATGCCACATTAAGAATATGAGGCCCCAGACATGCAGTCCCAATTGAATTATCCCAGCCATCTATAATACACCCATTTGAGCCATCCCAGGTAAGATCCTAGACATCATGGAACAGAGACGATCCATTCCTGCTGTGCCCTGCCCAGATTTCCTGATGCATAGAATCACAAGCATAATAAAATGATTGTTAAGAAGTTTCCTACTGAGCAATAGATTGCCAGGGCCACTGAATTTTAAGACTAAGAGAAGCAAAGATATAATAATGGGCTAAGTAATGATAGAATTTATATTTTTAAAGAAGAATTCCTGTGTGGTGTTTCTCTGACTTTCTTAGCCAAATTACCGCCTTCTCCACTAACTACACCAATTCACACCATGTCAACAACATTTTCACCTCAATGAAAGCTTTTACCTGAGAAGGTGGGATCGAAAAAGTGCATTGAGTCTGATATATCATGTACCAAATTTGTTATTTCTGACAATGAGTTCAAACGAAGTGGTTACATTTAACGATCACCAGAGCATTTTTACTTTGGAAATTTTATAACTAGGGTTTATAAGGTCCCATAAAACAAATGTTTTGTGGCTATGTTGACCTCCAGAATTGGGAAGGCAGGGAAAAGCTCCAAATGGTAGTCATAATACCAAGACTATGTATCTGGAAAGTAACTAGTAGAGGTGGAAAAACTAACAAAATTTTGGTATCTTTGCACAAAATAAAGGTATATTATTATCCTTGTTTCACAAATGAGAAAAGAGACCTTGAGAGCTTAAATTATTTGGTTAAAATCACAGCATTGGAGACAGGATAAGAGTCCAAGGAGGCAAGATTAGGATCCAAGTTTACCATGTGTACTTTCAATAACTCTCTCTCTGTGTCTCTTAAAATGCAAAACAAAACAAAACAGTGCTAGAGACACAAACAATAAATATGTAAGCACCAGAAGAAAAGAGAGTTACATGTAAGATTGTAGTCTGAGTAGGCTGTATATTGGTTGAAGTGGAGTGGCCATCCTAGCCAGTTTGTAGGAGTTCAGAATGGGTCTTTACATTTAAGAGAGAGCAGAGAATGTGTATACCTAGGGCAGTGATTCTCACACTGAAGCTAGTATGCTCCCCAGACTAGCTTCATCAGCCTTACCTAGGAACTTGTTTGGAAATGAAATGCAAATTTTCTGACCCCACATCTGTTGGATCAGAAACTCTGGGAATTTTAAGAAGAAACGTGTTTTAACAAGTATAGTAGGTAGTTCAGAGACACAAGTATTGTAGATAGGTAGTTTTAACAAGAAATCTGTTTTATCAAGTATTGTAGGTAGTCTGAGAACCACTGCTGCCCTCAGTGGAAACCTTATATTGGGTAGCATATGAAAGTGAAGATTTGAAGGTTGGATTAGGGCCATCTTCCTTGGCTTTGATCATGTAAATCAATAAGGTCTTTCATTCTTAGGAACTGCTCCTTGATTCTGATCCACTTGTAGGTGTCTCTCCACTGGGTTTAAACTCTAAATTTTTGTGTCTTTGGCTTTGATTCCTGCCCCTCTGAATTTGAGTGCATTATTTGTTGTACTCTGACTTGCCTCTGGTGCAGATTGCCCATGCCAATCCTGGGACAGTTAGGGGAATGAGAGAATTCTGACATGGGATAGATTTTGAAAAAGTGAAACATGTTCTAAACTGAGGAGTTTGAACTATTGTTTTTAGTTATTGGACATCCACGAAAGAATTTCAGCAGAGGAGTGGCAAAAAAAATTGTATTTTTGGAATACTAATTTGGAAGCAATTTGTAGAATAGATTGAATGGAAGTGATTTATGAAACTCATGCAATAAACTAGGCATGAAATGGCGCATGTTGGTCTTGATAGGGAATGACAGGGAAGGGAATGGAATGTGAGAAACATTTAGAGAGAAACTCCAATGTAACCTATGGATTAATTTGCTATGGAGCATGAATAAGATGGAAAAAAGAACAAATAACAAATTAAGAGATTTGACAAATGTGAAAATAATGCTATTGACAGAAATATAGGACTCAATTCAGTTGTCTTGTCTTGGAAAGCCAATCAGATCATTTTGAATGCATTCAATGTGAAATAATGGTGAAACAACCAAGTGTTACTGCTCATTAGGTAAGAGAACAAATGCATGCTTTTTTTCAAGTATCAAATTATACAGTTGTATTATCTTAAGGGAAATTTCACTAATTTCAACATGACTGAATAGACATGTGTGGGACTGAAAACAAGTTATTGCAGACAGAGAGCATCCAAAAGACTACAGTAAGTGAGCAAGAAAAAGGCAATCTGAAAGAACATGGCCCTGGCACAGTGGCTTCTTAGTAATAGGCATAGTAATAGTGGTGATTGTGATGGGAGTTTGATGGTGGAGTGAAATGGGAGTAGTTATTGGAGAGGATGATAGTAGTTTTTAAACGAAGAACAGAGCTATCTGGGATATTATTTATTTCAATAGTCTACTGTTCTTAGAATCTGATCTTGCAGACATAGAGTAGTGCATGGCAGAGATATAGATATAAAAATGGATTGACATGTGACTGTGGTCTTGTATGACAATCTGTTAGAGATTCCTTGCTTGCTTAGAAGTTGGTAATACCTGAAAGAATCCACCTATTTTCACATGGAGAAAGGTTCCCAAGATCAATTTCATATCTTCCCAAATCACATCAGAATTTAGAATTGTGGAAAAATCACATTTTAGAAATAATTTAGTTACATGTAAAGTATATGAAGGAACACATTTTCTTTGTAGCAGATATGCTTATACCTTACCATACTCTACCTGACAACCCATATTTGATTTAAGTTTTCCTTTTTAATTCCTTTGGGTTTATAATAAGCTTTAAAACAATATATGAAATAGTGCCTGGGGGCCCCAAAACACTGAAGCCAGGGTTCATAAAGCATTTATAAAGAAACGCTGATACATCTCTTGAGGCCATCCCTGTTAACCCACTGTTACAATAGATGTCTGAGAAGCATATTAATATGCCCATTAGCAATGTAAGTCTATTTCATTTTTGGGTCAAACAGCCAAAAGAATATTTCTTTTTTTCTTTTCTTCTTCTTATTGCCCTACCTGGGCTTTAACTAGCTGAACATTTACAACTCTGAATGATATAATGCAATTAAGACTCTCTATAACATTCTAATTTGCATATCTCATTATATAGAGTGACACCATTAGAAGACATGTGTTGAAGCTTTCAAAATGATTATGATATGTGAATGTATTAGGGGATGAATATGTTTTGCTGAACCAAGATTTTACAGTATTCACAGGCATACTTAGGCTAGCAGGTGCTTCTTGAGGAAGTGATTTCTGTGAGTAAGTGCCAATCATATTCTTTATTTTGCTTTTCTTCTCTATGAACACAAGCACAGAAGGCCGAAATAAGGCATAAATGCTGCAAAATAGAAGTTTTAGAAGACAGTAGTTATTCAAAGACAATTAACTGCTTTTCTTATTCTCTGTTCAGCCCTCCAGACCTGGTCTTTAATCCTTGGCCCTGCTCTATGACCCAGGAGGCTGCCTTAGACAAACTGCATCATTAAATCTTCCTTACCCTCTGAATTCTGGTTGGGTTTGGCCAATAGAAGGCAGCAGCAATAGAGAGAGGTTGAGGTATTTATTTCCCTGACTTCTCCTATCTGTACCAAGATTTTGGAGTGACAGCATTTAGATGAGAATTTCCATGAAATGAATGAAATTTACATGTCAGAGCCCATCACATGTATAGGCCAATCCAAGGCCCACAGAGAGGTTCCAACAGTGTGTTCACATGGTCATATGTTTTTGTTAATAGGAAAAGAATATTCTGAAGTTGAGAAGTATATTTGAAAAGACATTTTAGAACATTTTAATAAAGCATGTGAGAAAATTGAGACTCCTGATTAGGGCATAAATGAAGGATACTTTCTTTTATTATCTTTCTATATGTTTATTTAAAAACTGACGGACAGGCTGGACACAGCGGCTCACGCCTGTCATTCTAGCAGTTTGGGTGACTGAAGTGGGTGGTTTGCTTGAGCCCAGGAGTTTGAGACCAGCCTGGGCAACATGGTGAAACCCTGTCTCTACTAAAAATACAAAAATTAGCTAGGTGTCATGGAGCACACTTGTAGTCCTAGCTACTCGGGAGGCTGAGGTGGGCAGATTGCTTGAGCCCAGGAAGTCGAGGCTGCAATGGGCTGAGATCGTGCCTCTGCACTCCTGCCTGTGTGACAGAGCAAGACTGTTTCAAACAAAACAAAACAAAACAAAACAAAACAAAACACCTGAGAGATAATTTGTATTAAATAATTAATAAAATATAAAGCAAAAGGGACAATTTGAGTAATTAAATTAATATAAACTATTCTGATATTGAGAAATAAAGTTTATTTCAGATCCTACCAAAAGCTTAATTTCATTAAGAGGAAGAGATAAATTATGAATAAAAAGAATGAATAGGCTCTTTAATTGTTTGATAATCAAATTAACAAACAGGAATGAATCATACAGATTCATTGGAGAAAGACATAAATCTGTTAGTGCTTTGACATGAATTACTGACATTGATGAAGATACTACAAGCCTACAATAAGATACTATATAACAAACTGGTTTTCTTGTGTAGTGACTAATGTTCAATTCAGAGTATTTAACATTAGTCACTACACAAGAAAGCTTGAAATGCCCTGTAATCTCACAGCTGATACTTGAAAAAAATTTAATGAAAGGTTTCCTAAATTTGACTACAAAACAAAACAATAATGTATGATAATCAGCAATATAAATTGTAAAGCTGTAAAAAACTTTTCTAAACTATCAATGACAAAAAACACATTTAAATTTATAATGTTTGAGGTCATAGTGAGTCATGATTGGGCTGCTGCATTCCAGCCTGGGCGACTTAGCAAGAGATGGATGGATCGCGGATCGGTGCGATGGATCACGACTGTAATCCCAGCACTTTGGGAGGCCGAGGTGAGCGATCATGAGGTCAAGAGATCAAGAACATTCTGGCCAACATGGTGAAACCCATCTCTACTAAAAATACAAAAATTAGCTGGGCGTGGTGGTGTGTGCCTGTAATCCCAGCTACTCGGGAGGCCGAGGCAGGAGAATCGCTTAAACCAGGGAGCCGAGATCGTGCCACAGCACTCCAGCTTGGCAACAAAGTGAGACTACGTCTCGAAACAAACAAACAAACAGACAGACAAACAAAAGATGGATGGATCACTTGAGCCAGGAGTTCAAGACAAGCCTTGGCAACATGGTTAAAACCTTGTCTCTACAAAAAATACAAAACTAGCCCAGCATGGTGGTGTGTGTCTGTGGTCCCAGCTACTTGGGAGGCTGAGGTGGGCGGATTGCCTGGGCTCAGGAAAGTAGAGGCTGCAGTGAGCCGTGATGGTAACACTGCACTTCAGCCTGGGTGACAGAAGGAGACCCTGTCTCAAAAACAAAAATAACAAAAAAACCAAACCAAACCAAAAGAAAACTAAAGAAGCAATCAGGATATGCAACCAACAGGTGAAAATGTAAGGAAAAAAGTATTCCAAAGCTATGTCTGTTAATAAAATATTACGCCATTTTCCTGGATTTTGTTTTGTTTGTATTTGTTAGATTTTAAACATTTGTGATTTTTTACTTTAAAATATTTATCTTCATGGCTAATTTCTTTTTTTTTAAATTTATTTATTTTTTATTGATAATTCTTGGGTGTTTCTCACAGAGGGGGACTTGGCAGGGTCATAGGACAATAGTGGAGGGAAGGTCAGCAGATAAACAAGTGAACAAAGGTCTCCGGTTTTCCTAGGCAGAGGACCCTGCGGCCTTCCGCAGTGTTTGTGTCCCTGGGTACTTGAGATTAGGGAGTGGTGATGACTCTTAACGAGCATGCTGCCTTCAAGCATCTGTTTAACAAAGCACATCTTGCACCGCCCTTAATCCATTTAACCCTGAGTGGACACAGCACATGTTTCAGAGAGCACAGGGCTGGGGGTAAGGTCACAGATCAACAGGATCCCAAGGCAGAAGTTTTCTTAGTACAGAACAAAATGAAAAGTCTCCCATGTCTACTTCTTTCTACACAGACACGGCAACCATCCGATTTCTCAATCCCTTCCCCACCCCTCCCGCCTCTCCATTCCACAAAGCCGCCACTGTCATCCTGGCCCGCTCTCAATGAGCTGCTGGGCACACCTCCCAGACGGGGTGGTGGCCGGGCAGAGGGGCTCCTCACTTCCCAGTAGGGGCGGCCGGGCAGAGGCGCCCCTCACCTCCCAGCGGGGGCGGCTGGCCGGGCGGGGGGCTGACCCCCCCAACCTCCCTCCCGGATGGGGTGGCTGCCGGGTGGAGAGGCTCCTCACTTCTCAGACGGGGCGGCTGCCGGGCGGAGGGGCTCCTCACTTCTCAGACGGGGCGGCCGGGCAGAGATGCTCCTCACCTCCTAGACGGGGTTGGGGCCGGGCAGAGGTGCTCCTCACATCCCAGATGGGGCGGCGGGGCAGAGGCGCTCCCCACATCTCAGACGATGGGCGGCCGGGCAGAGACGCTCCTTACTTCCTAGATGTGATGGCGGCCGAGAAGAGGTGTTCCTCACTTCCTAGGTGGGATGGCAGCCGGGCGGAGACGCTCCTCACTTTCCAGACTGGGCAGCCAGGCAGAGGGGCTCCTCACATCCCAGATGATGGGCGGCCAGGCAGAGACGCTCCTCACTTCCCAGACGGGGTGGCGGCCGGGCAGAGGCTGCACTCCCGGCACTTTGGGAGGCCAAGGCAGGCGGCTGGGAGGTGGAGGTTGCAGCGAGCCGAGATCACGCCACTGCACTCCAGCCTGGGCACCATTGAGCACTGAGTGAACGAGACTCCATCTGCAATCCCGGCACCTCGGGAGGCCGAGGCTGGCGGATCACTTGCGGTTAAGGGCTGGAGACCGGCCTGGCCAACACAGCGAAACCCCGTCTCCACCAAAACCAGTCAGGCGTGGCGGCGCGAGCCTGCAATCGCAGGCACTGGGCAGGCTGAGTCAGGAGAATCAGGCAGGGAGGCTGCAGCGAGCCGAGATGGCAGCAGCACAGTCCAGCCTCGGCTCAGCATGAGAGGGAGACCATGGAAAGAGAGGGAGAGGGAGAGGGAGAGGGCTAATTTCATATTTATAATTTTATATTCTTTTTCTTAAAGAGAATCCTCGAAACTGTACAAACTTAAGCCCTATACAAGCTGCATCAGCCCTGTCTTATGGCCCCTCTCCATACTGTGACTCTAACTGGGATCTGGTAACAGCCCCCTCACCTTGATCCTTTGGGCCTAAGGGTAATAATCACCCTTTGTGACTCCCTAAGGCAGCAATTCCCAACCTGTTTGGCACCAGGGACTTGTTTTGTGGAAGACAATTATTCCACAGACCGGGGGAAGTGGGTAGGGATGGTTTTGTCATGAAACTGTTCCATTTGATCTGACAGGAGGCAGAGCTCAGGTGGTAATGCTAGCTTGCCCACCCTGCACCCCTTCTGCTGTGCGGCCTGATTCCTAACAGGCTATGGACTGGTACCAGTCCTCGGACCTGGGGTTGGGGAGCCCTGCCCTGGGGATCCCTGCCCTAAGAGACTTATAATTTTTTGTTGATTTCCTTAAATCATGGCTTCTCAACCTTGGCACTATTGATATTTTGGTTAGAAAATTCTTTGTGGTGGGGGCTGTGCTGTGTAGTATAAAATGTTTAGCACCGTCTTTTGCCCTGACTCACTAGAAGTCAATGGAACTTCCCAGCATGACAACCAAAAATGTCTCCAAACTTTGCCACATGTCTGAGTGGAAAAAACACCACCCCCAGTTAAGAACCACTATGCTATAACCTTATAAATGATCCTTTTACTAAAATCCCTTCAATTGCTCCTTTGAGTTTGCCATTTTTTTTCTAATAAGATGGTTACAGATAATTTTTCAAAATGACAAGAACATATATAAAATTCTGATAAAGATTAAACATGGGTACCTTACCTTTGTTTTAAAAGAAGAAAACAACTGTGCATTATATTCCTGTATGCAAAGTTAAATTCTGATGCAAATTATTTCCAAATGCTAAGTAGCTTGAAAGAAAGGAAAAATATGCATAATAAACCACAAGTATAAAAATGAAAAAAATGCATTCTGGAAAAAAAAGCATAATATCAATGGCTAAAAACAGTGAAGAAAAAAGTATAAAAATCACTAAACGGGCTCAGATGATTCAACCAAGTTAAGCAGGGAGCATCACAGAAGGAACAAAACAGAGGTAGCTAGAGACAGCACTTCCCTTGATGGTGGAGAGAAGGAGGTTGGCAAGTCCTCTTCAAAACTGACTGTAAAGCTGGATAAAATTGTAAAAAATAACCTCTAGAAATCAACCAAAGGGAAACAACAAATTGAGAAATGTTTATTCATAAAAATTGCTGAATATCAGGTAAAAACAGTGGGAGTTTGTGGTGTTCTTGCCTGGGACTGTTTCCTTCTCTGGCCCTCTTTCCTCAGCCTGGCTGCAGCGGTAAAGCCAGGACAGAAGTAACTGTGGAAAACATCAGTTTCACTGTGAGAGAGGCTGGCTTAATATGGAGAGGAGGGTAAAAAATTTAAGCCCAGTGGTGTTGTCAGTAAAAATAACAAACTTGGAAGAAAATGAATGAAGAAAGCCCACAGCTCTCCTAGGCTAATATTATAGTCCTGTTTAGGGCAAGAAACAGACCAGCTGACAAGCCAAATATTTAATAAGGAGATCCTGGAAATGAGACAAGTCAGGGGCTAGAGAAGCTCTGCACACTCCCTGGGTGATGGGGAGGCTGTTCACTTGAGCGATAACCCAGATTTTTGTTGAAAGTAAAAGCCAGGGGAACCTTAGAAAGTGCTCTATAACCCACACACTGATCCATCAGCAAAGGGTGGAAGACTTTATTAGCTCAAGATGTTTGAACACATTCTCAGTTCAAGTATTGGTTGGCTGCTATGAAGTCAGGGTGACCCCTGGGAAACCAGGTTAAAAAAATTGAGCAGAGACACCAGTTCCTACACTGCAGGAGGAAGAAAGATTACCCAGATTGAGTCCAGGCAAATTATTAAAAAGAAAAACAAAACAAAACAAAAAGCAACATGATCTAGTATGTAGAAAATCCTAAAAATTGTACAAAAACTAAAACAAAACAAAACCACCCCAAAACACCCCCTGGAACTTAAAAACAAGTTCAGCAAGGTCACAGGACACAAAAAAATTGTGTTTGTATATATTAGAAAACAAGAAATGAAATTAAGAAATCAGTTCCATCCACGATAGCATAAAAACATTCAAAAATAAACCAAGGGATGCAAGACATATTAAAAAAAACTGTAAAATTTTGCTAAAAGGGAACAAAGAATGTTTAAATAAATAAAAAGACCATTTAATGGATTGTAAGACTCAGTATTGTTAAGATGGCATCATCCTCAAATTGGTTTATAGATATAACACAATCACTGTCAAAATCCCAGAAAGTTTTTTTCTGTAAAAATTGAAAAACGAATACCCCAAATTTATATAGAACTGCAAAGAACTTGAAATAACCAAAACAATTTTGAAAAAATAAAAAGATGGAGGACTTAGAGCACCCAATTTTAAAACTTTTTCTAAAGCAACAGTAATCAAGACAGCATGGTGTTGGTGAAAGGATAAACATATATATCAATGGAGCAGCATGGATAGTCTAGAAGTCCTTACATTTATAGTCAGTTGATTTTTAACAAAAATGCCAAGCTAATTCAAGGGAGAAAGGATAGCCTTTTCAACAAATTGTGCTGGGACAATGGTATATCCATATGTACAAAGCAAGCATAAACCCTTAACTCACATACACAATGAAATAAAAATGAATCATGGGCTGGCATGGTGGCTCACGCTTGTAATCCAAGCACTTTGGGAGGCTGAGGCAGGCAGATCACCTGAGGTCAGGAGTTTGAGACCAGCCTGACCAACATGGTGAAATCCCACCTTTGCTAAAAATACAAAAATTAGATGGGTGTGGTGGTGTGCACCTGTAATCCCAACTACTCAAGAGGCTGAGGCAGGAGAATCGCTTGAACCCGGGAGGCAGAGCCTGCAGTGAGTTGAGATGGCACCACTGCACTCCAGCCTGACTGACAGAGTGAGACTCCACCTAAAAACAACAACAACAACAACAACAACAACAACAACAACAAACCATAAACGTAATGTACAAGATAACATAATACAACTTGTAGAAGACAAAAAAGTAGAGAATCTTTGTGCAACCTTGGGTTAGACAAACATTTCTTAGATGTGATGCCAAGAGCAGGATCCATAAAAGAAAAAATATTGATAGACTGGACTTTATAAAAAGAAAATTTTAGCTCCTCAAAAGACACCTTTAAAAGAATGAAAAGACAAGACAATAACTGGGAGAAAATATTTGGAAAGCTTGTGTCTAAGAAAGCATTTGCATCCAGAATATATAAATAACTCCTACAATTCAAAGATAAGACAGACAACCCAAATAAAAAATGGGTGCAATATCTGAATAGATGTTTCTCCAAGGAAGATATCCAAAAGTTAATAAGCAGGTGAAAAGATTCTCAAAATCATGACTCATTAGGGAAATGCAAATTATAATCACAATGACAGCACACTATTTACCCATTAAAGTGGGTGTACTTAGAAAGACAATATCAAATTTTGATGAGGGTGTCAAGAAACTCTCACACATCACTGGTGGGAATATAAAAAGTGGTACAGCCACTTTGGAAAACAATTTGGTAGTTTCTAAAAAAAGTTAAACATAAATTTACTCTATGTCCTAGAAATGTTACTCCTAATATCTACCCCAGAGAAATGCAAACATACGTCCACATGACTTGTATGCACAAATACTCATAGCAGCATTATTCATAAGAGCCCTAAATTGGAAACCATTCAAATGTCCATCAAGTGATAAATGGATAAACAAAATGTGGTGTACTCATACAATGGAATACTATACAGCCACAAAAGGGGCAAACTACTGACACATGCTACAGTATGGATATACCTCAAGAACATTATGCCCGGTGAAAGAAGCCAGATACAAAAGACTACCATCTTCTGTATCTTCTTTGACTTTGTTTAAATAAACTTTTCAGTAAAGGTAAATGTATAGAGACAGAAAGCAAATTAGTGGTTATCTGGGGCTAAGAGTGGGAGCAGGATTTCACAGTGAATGGGCATGAGGGATCTTTTTAGGGTAATAGAAATGTCCTAAAACTTGATCGTTGTGATAATTGCACAATGTTGTACATTACTAAAAAAAAAGAATTGTACAATTGCATTTGTGGTCTACAAATTATATACGTCAGTAAGGCTAGTTCAAAAACAGAGGAAGGTCATCGTTTTTAGACAACACTTCTTGTACACACAAAAATGGGAATGAGATTCCAATTTAGCCACAGAAGCCTAGCTGTATTATGAAATCAGAAATAAGTTTTTATTAATTTCTCTTTTTTCACTTTTTTTTGCCAATATTTGCAAGTTGTTTTTTTTTGTAGGCAGAGGGGTATATAATAAGTAGTTATCTTTCAAAGATCAAAGTAAGTGTAACCCTGGAGGTATTAGAATTTTAGGTTGGAAAGGGATGTTAGACTTTATGATCAAGCTTGCCCAATTTTATTGTGCTCATTTATTATTTCCAATTTTTCACGTTCAGCAATCTTGCTTAATTCTCCATTGGTTCAATCTTCCTTTACAACTTGACCTGGTGATAATTGTTCAACAATGTTTATTGACTTATAAATAACTAAATACTTTTTTTTTTTGTTAACAAGATACATATATCACAGTGTTCTGCATTTATCACATTGAGTTTCATTCTGTGTATGTGGTCTAGATAACATTAACATGACTTACACATCAGCTTAACCTAGTTTGGTTTGGTTTGGATTTGCCCAAATAGGTTCTATGTCTATACATCAAGTGTCTAAAACTCATTTGCAGGTGTCAGCCATGTCCATTTCAATCAAGTTAGATAGTGTAACTTGGGAAGTAGATTGCTTATTAGCATACTGTCTGATCAATCTAATAAACTTTAATTCAGTTCCGTTTAGCTTATTTCTCCCCAGGGCACAGTGTGACTTTCCCCAACCTGTTGAGGTAAAGCTCTGATCAGACACATTCAATGCAACCTAGATGAACTTCCCCAACATTTCTCTCACAACCACACATTTCACTAGTGGCTGCCAATATAGAGTCTCTGGTTTAGTCTCCTATCTTACCTAATTATTCATTTACTGAATCACCAGTTGTACTTTACCAGAATTTGCAGTCACTGAATTAATGCAGAAGATACTGAAATTAATTATAACCATTGAGATGAATACTCTAAGGCACCTGAAAATTTTAATAGAGAAAACATTGAGTTTGCTAGTCAAGGTTTTCTCTGTTGTGATCATCAATGTGTGTGAACTCGTTGAACAGATCAATAACCTGTTAAATATATTGTAATTTGAAAGTTAAAATCAATGAAATTTAGACATAGTATGAGTTTTCATTATTGTATTTCTAAATCTAGAAATATATGCTAGACTTATGTCGGTTTTTAAAACTGAAGAATATATGTTCTTTTTTGGTCGAAGTGTCTTCTGCTATTCTACTATTCTTATTTTCCCACTCTGCATTTAGGCTTGTCAGGTTTTTTTTTTTTTTTTCTATTTTAGATTTTTGAGGACACATGATACGGTAAACAGTATATGGACTTTTCAGTCAAACAATCCTAGGTTTAAATTTTAGTTACAACACGCCAGGCACGGTGGCTCATGCCTGTAATCCCAACATTTTGGGAGGCTCAGGCAGGCGGATCACATAAAGTCAGGAGTTCGAGACTAGCCTGGCCAACATGGTGAAACCCCGTCTCTACTAAAAATAGAAAAATTGGCCAGGTGTGGTGGCGGGTGCCTGTACTCTCAGCTACTTGGGAGGCTGAGGCAGGAGAATCACTTGAACCCAGGAGGTGGAGGTTGCGGTGAGCCGAGATCGTGCCATTGCAATCCAGCCTGGGTGACAAGAGCAAAACTCCATCTCAAAAAAAAATTTTTTTTTTTAAAGTTACGACAAACGGTATTATCTTTTAGAGAAGTCACTATCTCTGTGCGTAAGTGTCCTTATCTTAGAATGGGGGCAAGTAAATATATCACCTTAGAAAGTTTTGTGAGGATTAAAAGAACTTGGTACAAGTAGGTACACTACAAACATTGGTGGCTGCTTTTTCTTTTTCTCTTATTTTTCTTCATTATTACAACCTTTGCATATCTACATAAAATAAACTTAACTTGTAGTCGTGATCTCTTTTTCTTTCCTTACAAAGCCTCTCTCGATCTTGTAGGGAAATAGAAGGATTCCTTCATTTATTCAATGACTATTTTTGCTCTCCCATTATGTGCTGGTGTTGGGTATATAGTTATGAACAAAACTAAAGTCCCTGCCCTTGTGGAACATACGTACTAGTAGTTCTGTGTAATCATGTGGGTTTAGCTCTTTTTAAAAATCCAAGCTGATATAAAATTGAGTAGTATATTAACACCCTTGGAAGTGCTATGGTGAGTGGCCACTGACATGGTTGTTTAATGACTTGACTTTAGATAAAAGCTACCCTCAGGTAAAGTCTGGCACCAGATGTTTTTTCTTTTTCTTTCCTTTTTTTTTTTAACAAGCATTTGAGGATAACTTTTTTTAAAAAGAAAAATAAAAGAATAAAGTAGCACATCACAAAATTTTACTTTATTTTCTCTTTAAAACAGCCATGAAGGGCATATTTTCTTTATTTTTATTTATAATAAGGAATTAAAGCTGAGAAGGGGAAAACAATCTTGCCTAAGTTACGTCACCAGAAGATAGTGGTTCTCTTTGTCTTCGAAATCCATCTTTTTGATGACAAGATATATGGTAGCATTAACTAAGTAGAACAGTTAGTTCTGCACACGATGGTGGCTAAGACGAGCCCTGCCTTCAACACTCATGGCCTTCTCTACCTTCTCTATCTGTACCCTGCTTTCTTCCCTGATATTTTTTAATAGCTTAACTGGGGTTATCATCAGGCACAGATTCTCTGTAGAACAGAGGTGGGAATAGATGATTTCAAGGGTTGCTTCCAGTCTTGTGATTTATGATTTTTATGGGTTAGTAGCTTCAAGTTTTATTTCATTTATTTGCATTTTTTAATCAGAGGATAATGTTTAACCCAAATGAATGAATCTTTAAAGAGAATTTCAAGCATGATGGCACATGAGGACAAGGGAGATATTTTATGGAGGGGGCAGGGATGACCTACTCAGCCCTGGGCTAATCCTATGGAATAAGCATTGGCTAGAATTTTAGAGATAGTAATGGTTTGAATAAACTCCTAAGTTCCTGCATATAGGAAAAATAAAAGACACGTTGTCTATCTTACATATTGCTCCATTGTCACAACTTAAAAACACCCTTCAAGTGGCCAAATTCATAGAGGAAACTTACTGGAACACTTTGCTGGACTGGGTGAGTTTTAGCATTAATAAATTAAATCCTCTCAAATGAAGCATTTTGCTTGTATGGACTTAATTATCTTAAAAAGTACATAAAAACAAAGTTGCCAATATTATATCTCTATTTCTTTACAATTATATAAACATTTTAATGAGAACAATGACAACTTCAATAGCAAAAATTGATTGAAAAAGAGTGCCTGACTATAGTTAATAATAATGTACTGTATATTTTAATGTAGCTAAAATAGAGGATAGTAAATGTTGTTACCACAAACAGGATAAATATTTGCAGTGATAGATATGCTAATTACCTTGATTCAATAATTTTACAATGTACACATGTATTAAAATATAATTTTACACCCCATAAATATACACAATTATTATTTGTCAACTAAAAATAAAACTAAAAAGTGCATCTAAAACCATCACAGAAATATATTAATTCCTAGCTTAGCACTGACAAATTAGTTTTAACAACCCACAGAAAATGCCACTTATATCTTCTGCTGTCAATTAAAAAAAACCCTTGCACCCAAAATCTTGTATTTTTCCTGTTATTTGGTCAGCGCAGAAGAGAAATTGACTTTCATAAAGAGCCAGCATTTCCAGCTTTCTCTTTCCTACTTATATCAAAAGTCACTCTGAAGTCAGACTACTTTTATGCATTAATTAACCCGATTCCCTCATGCAAATATTTAACAAACATCCAGGAAACAAATATTCAGGCATTGATTGAATTAAACAAATATTCAGACATTGATTGAATTAAACTGAACCCATAATGCAGATTCCATATGCTGTTTATTTTGTCCCCACCAGAAGTGGATGGGTGGGTGTGGGTTTGACTTTTCCTACACTCCTGGGGTTTCGAACATCATTTGGTGTGATTGATTTCCCTACAAACTGAGAGTCGGATAGACAAGGAGCATATTTATTTCTTGGTCAGAGAAATGGGCTACAATCTAGATCACCAGGGTTGATCTTTTGCAATGTGAACTCTATCTCTTTCATTTAAATCATGTTTAATTTTTAGAAAATTATAATTAGACAAAATGAACTATAGAGAAAAGCTCAATATGCAGATAATAAATTTGTATCAAAGGCAAAGGAGGAAAGGGTGAGGCAGTAACCTTCTTTACACTGTATTAAGCCTTGCAACGTAGCATCTCTACTGAGTTTTTGAATATTATCCTTCCTTTTTCCCCTCGTGGCTCCTTCCTTTCCTTTATTCAAAAATTACTTGTTGAGAATGTGCTATACTGCAGGCTCTGTACTAGACACTGGTTATGTTATTTTTACCATTTAAGTAATAGTTGTTAATATTATATACAGAATTTGGGGAGGGAGAAGAGCAGAGGAGGGGCCGAGAGCAATGCGAGAGGAGGAGGGAAAGGATAAATATAAAGAAAAAGGGCAAGCTGTTAATATTAATTCATATTATATTGAACTTTATTTCCCCTTGAGTTGGCTGCTTTATTCACTTATCAAATATTTATTGAACAAATACTGTGTTCCAGGCACAGTCCTAGGCCCTGGGGATAAAAAGTCAAGAAAGACTTGCTTATTCTTGTTCTCAAGGAAGGTACAGCCTAGTTGGGGAGAAAGAAGTAGATAAACCCCAACTGTGAGGGGATGGGGAATGTACTATGAGAGTCATGTCTGAAAACCTATGTGGGCCCAGAGAGAATGCATCTAAATTAGGTGACAGGATGGTCCGGAATTTACGAGGAGGCCAAATGTAAAACCAAACCAACCAAACCAAACAGAATACTATTTGTCAAGTTTGCCTGGATAAAAAAGTCCATCATTCTGAGCAAACTATCCTAAGGACAGAAAAGCAAACACCGCACATTCTCACTCATAGGTGGGAATTGAACAATGAGAACACTTGGACACAGGGTGGGGAACATCACACACCAGGGCCTGTTGTGGGGTTGGGGGAGTGGGGAGGGATAGCATTAGGAGATATACCTAATGTAAATGACGAGTTAATGGGTGCAGCACAGCACACCAACATGGGACATGTATACATATGTAACAAAACTGCACGTTGTGCACATGTACCCTAGAACTTAAAGTATAATTAAAAAAAAGTGAAGAATTTAGGAAACAATTACTAGACCACACTTTTGCAGTCATATCAGCCTGCAAATCTCATCATTAATTTAAAACATATAAGATTAAATTTTCCATGTTATATAACATTTTAATACAGACTGATGACCAACATTACAGGTGTATGTCCCACATGAAGATATTGTGTGGTTTCATTTACAGACTTGTGAATATTGTTCAGTTTTCTTGACGTCCAAAATTGTTTTACTCTACTAGTAAATTATTAATATTTCACTGATTATTTTAACCAAATTGAACAATTTGACAGTTATTTTGGTATGTCTGTTTGCTAAAGGTATTACTATTTTTTTCTAATGAAGATTTGCATTTGTAATGGTATAATTGGCAGTTCTTAAAAAAATATCAGCTCTGCCAGTCTTACCATTGTTGGTGGTGCAAAGTCAAAGTTGAAATATCTTTCTTCTCTGAGTGCACAGAGGAAAGGACCAACAATGCATTTTATATAATTATATAATTTTCTTGGTAGGCTGAGGCACTAAGTGAGCAGCTATATCATACTGCATGAGCTCTGCATAAAATGAGTATATTCAATGACTGCCAAATTAAAAAAAATCTTCAGTTTCAATGTCGCTTTAGACAGATGATGAAAGAAGCCTTGGCATGAATATATTAACCATGACTCTGGAGCTACTTTATAACTAGAGAAGCAAATATTATAGAAATAGAATTTTCATACATTATAATGTAGAAAAGGTGTGTGCAATTTTATCAAAATAATGCTAATATTAAAACAAAGTACTCTAAATTAGGTGTTAGAACTGTTCAATGATGGTGCATAATTTGAGTAAAATAGTACATATTCTTTTTATAACTCTGATTTTGCAAATTTATATCAACTTAATATAGCATTTGACTTAAGGTAACATTCATCCTGCTAGGAGAGAAGGCACTCTTAAGCAAGATATTAATTCATGAGTAGAGATATACCAGAGATTGTTCAATAGATAACATAATGAAAATCCTGGAATTACTTCTAGCTTTTGCCATTTTAGCTTCATCATTATAAGAGAAGAGTGGTACTAATTCTTTCCAGCAAATTTAATAGTAATTAGGTAATTGAATCTCCAACTCATAACATTTTTTCCCCTTTGGTATCAGATATTTAAAACTTCTCTGAAGCCTAAGTATGAGGGGTTTCTTAGGAATGAGTCTTGCCACAATTAAGCTCTTTAAAGTAAACCCACTTTCATTAGCTAGTGAGAATTGTCAGTGTTGGCTTTACAGCTGTCCACATGCTGTTTATTAATATGAAACACACCTTTTTTATTTATTAATGAATTCTAAAAATTTAGACTAATGATTAGGGCATTTGTTTTATTATGAAATTTCATTATATATGACATTTATTATTTTTAACATATTTATTTTATCCTTTGTCATCTAATCATAGTCATCTAGTAATTCTTGTAGCTTGTGGCAAATTCATTTTCTTCAAGATTCACAGGTGAGTTTGTCATAAATCTCTTTATACGTTCCTAATTTCCAAATTAGTAAAAATAGGAATATTTGATGTTAATTCATTCAAAGTGAGATGACAACAAAAGCTTTGGTTAAAAAATCCCCAATTTATAAAAATAACATATATACCATCTTAATCAACAATATATTTACCATACTGTGTCTGTAAAAGATAATCATATTCAATGGAGGAATGGGGAACATAGAAAAGTTGATATATAAGTGAGGAATGGGGAACATAGAAAAGTTGATATATAAGTGCTGTAAAAATTCTTTAAAAATTTTTGGATAAATGATGATTACTCTGGTAATCTCGTTATGATGATATGTCGCTAAATACATTCAGAAATGTCTGTTCTTTTTATCAATATCCTACATATTTCAAATACCATAGAGAAGAAGAATCATGAGCGTATAAGAAGCTTATTTTATTTCCCTTACATGTACATGTAACCAAGTTTGAGTCTGATCACTGTTGAGTCTGATCACTGAGAATAATATGAGACATGCTCTCATATTGCCAAGAGAATAATGTTTTCGAAGATAGAAACAGTGCATATTGTTACTATACTGCATATATATAACTTGGTTCTTGACTAAATCTTTGAATTGGTTTTTGTTCAACCTGGTCATTGTACATTCTCATCTCTGGTAAGAATGTTCATTCTTACATTGTTCAACTGGTCAACTCTTGCTTTGTCAATACAGAATTCAGTTGTTAGTCCCAGGGGAAGTTTCCATCCTTGCCTTTAGCTTCTGCTTTCTGATAGTTATCATTTTTTTAAAAAAGTATAGATTCAGGGGGTACATGTGCAGGTTTGTTACACGGGCATATTCTGTAATGGTGGGGTTTGGGCATCTAGTGAACCCATTACCCAAAGAGTAAGCATAATGCCCAATAGATAGCCGTTTTCCCCCTCCCTGTCTCCTTTTGGACACTGGGGAGTGTCTATTGTTTCTATCTTTATGTCCATGTGTACCCATTGTTTAGTTCCCACTCAGAGTGAGAAATGCAGCATTTGACTTTCTATTTTTGCATTAATTCACGTAGAATAATGGCCTTCAGCTGCATCCATGTTGTTGCAAAGGACAATACTTTATTATTTTTTTAATGGTTGTTTAGTATTCCATGATATATATGTATCACATTTTCTTTATTTAATTTACCATTGATGGGCACTTGGATTGATTCCATGACTTTGCTATTGTAAATAGTGCTGTGATAAACATATGAGTGCAGGCGTCTTTTTGGTAACATGGAATTAATCAGTTTTTGCACAATGCCTTGTGACTGGCAGTTTCCTGGTTGTATTTGCCTCATTATATTTTCGTCTGGATGTCTCCTTGACCAGACTGTTAACCTTACCAGACTGAACTCTTCGATGACAAGAACTCCATCTTAGGCATCTATTTTTTTTCCCTCAATGCCTAGCACGATTTCTGGCATGGTACAAGGTAGGTGTTAACACATATTTGTTGAATCAAAAACAATGTCATTGGTCATCCTTATAGAAACAGATTGTTGTAATACCTAGAAGTGAAAAAGAAAGAAAGATGGATCACTAGGAATGACATGATTAAACATCTGCAAGGAGTCCATATGACAAGGAATCTGATAGATATATGTGGCTGCAGAGCCCTCTGTTTCTTTAAGATATTTTTTAAAGAGCATTATTTTTATTTTTATTTTCACTGAAGTTTAGAATGTATGTGACTTTTTTATATCATCTATCTTTTTAAAAAATAAATTAGGACACATCCTTGAGGAATACTCTGAAAACTCCATCAAGCTTCCAAACTTGAAGAAAATTGCCAAGTTATGCACATCTTGAGATTTTTCTCTTATAAAGCCAAGATATGTGAAATTTATTAGCAGTTCTCATGTACAGTTTTACGAAGAAAAGAAAAATGCAGACGTTAGTGTTCCTATGGCAATGAGGCTTCAGTTCTGATTCCGTTCCCAGCTTTGCAACCAGCGAGCCATGGCTGTGGATTCCTTACACAACCAGACAGCTGGCGGAGCCTCCTAGGACTGAACAGTTGCTTTGACAAAAATCTTTGTTGAATCTGCTTTCCTATTTTCTTCTCTGTTAATTCTAAATTGTGTTAAAAAAAAAAACACCCTCATGTACTGATAACTTGATGGATTTTTCATAGAGCTTGCTTCCTTTCACATACATACAACTCATCTATTTTACATTTCCTTGTGCTTGACTTATGAATCAGCCTACATTGTGTAGGATCATATCATATCATTCAGAAAAAAGCATGACAATCAGGTTAATCATATCTGGAGCAGGAGCTCAAACTCTGATTGACAGCATTGCACTGAGGTCACATAACAGGTACCCTAGCTACCCAAAGCTGTATCTGCAATGTCAATGGAGTAGTAGTGTTATACTTTAGAATTCAGTACTGGATCTTTAGGGTCTGATTTTAGGCCACAGCAAGAAATCTGTGACACAAAGATTCATAAGATGCATCGCTTTGGATTAAGTTAAGATTTGATTCCCATATCTGTAAAAAATAGCAATTTATGTACAGGGGCTCAAAGTAGCTCCACCAAATCCACGTATTCAATTGTTTATGAAGGGGAAGAGCTGTAAAAAGCAGGGACATGAAGAAGCAGATTTAATTCTAGTTACACAGAGTATAATTTAAGGGTGCTAGTTCTCTCTTTTTTTTTTGAGCTGTTGTTATGGGTTCATGTTAAGATGCCCCCACTCTTAGAGAAAATCTTTAAATTAACATAAAGTAAAATAGCATATTTTTTGGCGTGCAGTTCTACCAGTTCTGACTTACGTATACATACTGGAAACACCACCACACTCAAGACACACACAGAACAGTTTCCTCACCCCAAAGCATTTTCTCACACTATCCGTTTATAAGTCTTCTCTGTCCCCACCTGTAACTCCTGGTAACCATTGATCTGTTTTGTGGCACTATAGTTTTGTATTGTTTTGAGAATGTAATATGTGTAGCATTGTACAATGTGTAACCTTTTGAGATTGGTTTCTTTCACCAGGTACAATGCCTTTGAGATTTGTCCAAGTTATTGCTCATTATCTAGTTTGTTTCTTTTTATTGCCCTTGTCTTCTGTTTCATGGGTGTACCAGTTAGTCTATTCATTATCTGGTGAAGAACGTTTTGGGCTGTTTGCAGTTTCTGGTGATTATGAATAGAATAGAGGTGCTACAAATATTTGTGCACAGGTTTTTGTGTGAACAAGAGATTTCATTTCAACTTTCTTTCTAGGAGTGGGATTGCTGGGTCATATAGTATATGCATATGTAAATTTATAAGAAGCTGTCAAACTTTTCCTGACTAGCTGTACTATTGTGCATTCCACAAGGCATGTATGACAGTTCAAAGATAAAGTTTTGATAATACTTGTTGGCATTAAGTCAGGGCCTCCCTAAGTATGGATCTTTTTTTGTTGCTCTCTTCTCCTCTCTTGTCTCTTAATCAGGAAGTTTTACAGTGGTCGAGGAACATTATTCAAACAAAAAAAAAGTACAAGTTTAAAAATAACTGAATAACGAGTCTTCTACCACCATGCCAAGGGCAGAGTTCTGCTTAAAGATGATTTGGAGAATGTGCTTGGGCTTGAGGTCCACTTTGAATTTCTTAGACTCTTTTTTTTTTGGTCCTAGTTCAGATCTTAGAACCTCCAAACCCTTGATGTATATGCTGGCACAAAAAGAAAGATATTGGGATGAAGGAGGAAAGAAAGAGGGAGAGAAAGAGAGAAGGAAAGTAGAAAAGAAGGGTTGAAATAATTGGGTGTGTAGTTGTCAGGCAAAATACAGGATAGCTAGTTAAATTTGAACATCAGATAAACAATACATACATTTTCACTGTGACGTATATCTCAAATATTGCACAGGGCATACTTACACGAGTAATTATTTATTCTTTATCTGATGTTAAAATTTAACTAGCAATTCTGTATTTTTATTTGCAAAAATTGGCAACTCTAGTTGCATTCCAGAAGGATGTTAAGTCTGTTTATCTATTCAGTTACATGGAATAAAAGAAATGGATTACCATCTCCCTTCTTTCCAGTGGCAGGTGCTGCCTGGTCCAAGACAGGACGGCAAGAGAATCCATAGGTCATGAAAACTTTCTTTTAAAGTACAGCCAGACTGCCCATTAGCAAGTTATAGTGTCATGTAAGTCTCATGCATGGACCAATTTTGTTAGCAACTTTTAGTGGAGGAACTAATAAAGAAGGTGGTTCAAGGTAGAGGAATCAGAAGAATCACTTTCTTATCAGATGATATGTCTTTCTGGGTGCCTCTTTTACACCTCATTTTCTTTCCTTTATTAATACAGAAAAGTTAGAAAGATGAACTCAAATCTTTCTTCTGTCCTCTAGCAAAGATTCTGGTAAGGAAGCATCAAG